>NC_000010.11:54082489-54234004 GCF_000001405.40 Homo sapiens | reverse complement strand
CTCTCCTGCTTCCATTTGTTATAGACAGTCTCTGTTTACTATATGTGAGGATACGGATGCTGATGTCTATGACGAGGTCATCCAAGGGCTGTTGTCAACCTCTTCAATGGTTCTACTGTCATGAACATCAATGGCAGAATTATTGACTAGCCAAAAGTCTTTAAAGGAAAAGCTAGATAATGATGTTCATAGGGAGTTTTAAAAAGTTTAACATATTTCTGGGATTCTAAAAAGATAAAAGCAAGCTGTATATATACTCAGGAAGCACTTGGGAAGGCCCTAAGCTCTCATCTCTGACTAACCTTGAAACTCTGCAAATGCAGTAACTTAAGGTCAAGATGGAACAACTCCATAAAGCAGCTAGACCTAAAAGATATCTACAAAACACTCTACCCCCTAACAGCAGAATACACATTCTTCTCAAGTGCACCTAGAATGTTCTTCAGTATAGATCATGTTAGGCCATAAAACCAATATCGTTAAATTGAAGATGATTGAAATAATACAAACTCTATTCTCTGACAAAAATGGAATGCAATTAGAAATTATAATGAAGGAAATTTTGGAAATTCACAAGTGTATGGAAGTTAAACATTCTTTAATCAATGACTCATGGAAGAAATAAAATCAGAAAAATACTTTGAGACAAATAAAAATAACAATACTTTGTAACATGTATTTTAATCTCTAATCAATAATGTAATATTTGTCACAAAGACACTGGAAATGTTAAGCAAACTAAAGAAAAAGAGCAGAAGGGAGGCCATCTGTGGTGACTCACACATGTAATTCCAACATTTTGGGAGGCCGAGACAGTTGGATTGCTTGAGACCTGGAGTTTGAGACCAGCCTGGGCAATATGGCGAAACCCTGTCTCTACAAAAAATACAAGAATTAGCTGGGCATAGTGGTGTGCACCTGTGGCCTCAGCTACTCAGGAGGCTAAGGTGGGAGAATCACCTGGGTCTGGGAAGTCAAGGCTGCAGGGCTGCAGTGAGCTACGATCACATCATTTTACTCCAGCCTGAGTGATGGAGGAGATTGGAGGTGACTCTCTTTAAAAAAAAAAAAAAAAAAAAAGAAAGAAAGCTAAACAACACAATAGAAATAATAGAGACTACAGTGGAAAGTAATAAAAGAGGGATTAGGAAATCAGTAGAGATAATAAATGAAGCCAAAATCAATTCTTTGAAATCATCAACAAAATTAACAAACCTCTAGCTAGACTGACCAGGAATAAAAGAGATAAGATGCAATTTACTAACTTGGAATGAAAGAGAGGACCTTCTATTTAGCTTAGAGAAATAAAAAAATGTTATGAGGGAATATTATATACAATTTATGCCAACTAGACAAATGGATGCAATGGACAAATTCCTGGAATCAAACTATTCAAACTGACTTCAGAAAAAATAAAAAATTGGGGTAGACTTTTAACAAGTTAATAGACTGACTTAGTAATCAAAAAGATCTTCCCACAAAGAAGAATTCTGGATCAGATGCTTTACTGGTAAATTCTACCATTAGAGAATATTTAATACCTCTTCTGTGTTAGTCTGTTCTTGCACTGCTATAAATAACTACCTGTTACTGGGTGATTTATAAATAAAAATAGGTTTAAGTGGCTCACAGTTCTACAGGCTGTACAAGAAGCATGGCTGGAGAAGCCTCAGGAAACTTTCAATCATGGCTGAAGGGGAAGTTGGCGCATCTTACGTGGCCAGAGCAGGAGAGAGAAGGGGTGGTACTACACACTTTTAAACAACCAGATCTCATGAGAACTCACTCACTGACACCACTGTCACCAGAACAGCAAGGGGGAAATTTCCCCCCATTATTCAATGACCTCCTACCAGGTCCCTCCTCCTACATTGGAGATTACAATTTAACATGAGATTTGGGTGGGGAAACAAATCCAAACCATATCATGAAACCCCTGGTTCCTCTGAAATCTCATGTCATTCTCACATTGCAAAATACAATCATCCTTTCTCAACAGTTCCCCAAGTCTTAACTGATTTCAGAATTAACTGAGAAGTCCACAGTCCAAAATCTCATCTGAGACAAGGCAAGTCCCTTCCGCCTATGAGCCTGAAAAAACTTACAAGATACAATGGGGGTACAGGCTTTGGGTGAATACACCCATTCCAAAAAAGGAGAAATCAGCCAAAGCAAAGGGTCTACAGTCCCCATGGAAGTCCAAAACCCAGGAGGGCAGTCATTAAATCTTAAATCTCCAAAATAATCTCCTTTGACTTCATGTCTCATATCCAGGCCACACTGATGCAGGGGGTGGGCTCCCAAGGCCTTGGGTATTTCTGCCTCTGTGGCTTTGCACAGTACAGCCCCATTGGCTGATTTCATGGGCTGGTGTTTGGTGCTTGTGCCTTTTCCAGGTGCACATTGCAAGCTGTCAGTGGATCTACCATTCTGGGGTCTGGAGAATAGTTGCCTTCTTCTCACAGCTCCAATAGGCAGTGCCCCAGTGGGAACTCTGTGTGGGGGCTCCCACCTCACATTTCCCTTCCACACTGCCCTGGTAGAGGTGTTCCATGAGGGCTCCACCCCTGCAGCAGATTTCTGCCTGGACATCCAGACATTTCCATACATCCTTTGAAATGTAAGTGGAGGCTTCCAAGCCTCAACCATTGCCCTCTGTGTGTCCACAGGTTTAACATCACATGGAAGCTGCCAAGGCTATGGCTTGCATGCTCTGAAGCAGAGGCCTGAGGCATATCTGGGGGCCATGTAGCCATGGCTAGAGCTGGAATGGCTGGATGCAGGAAGCAGTGTCCTGAGGTTGCACAGGGCAGTGGAGCCGTGGTCCTGGCCCACAAAACCATTCTTTCCTCCTAAGTCTCAAGGCCTATGGTGGAGAAACCTGCCATGAAGGTCTCTGAAAGAAAAGCATAATCTGTAGACCCCTTAATCATATATGTAGCTGAAATTTCTGCTTCTAATTGTGTTATCAAGTCTGACCATTTTTAATGTAAATGTTAACAGCTATCAAGCTCTGTTGCAGCACTGTCATTAATAATGATATCATACAATGTGTATTTATTTCTAATAATATAAGAAAGTCTGCTGACTTTAGCTTGTAACAGTAGCTTGTAGTATTAAGTACTCTTATATGAGCAGCTAATGTGTGAAAAGTAATATGTATTAAATATCATATAGATGAGATATATGTTACATACTAAAACATAAATATAATATTGCTAACAGTATTTTTTCTAATTTTTCAAAGTATGATTATAATAATATTATGAATATTCTGGCAACTAAAATGTTGGTGTCACCCATTGATTAAGAATGGAGATACTAGAGCCAGAAACCTTGGTTTAAATTTTTTTATCAACCTTCATTAACTGTGGTAGGTATTATCAAGTATTAGCACTTTCATGGCCAAGTATACAGTATACTCATATTGGAAATGTGAAGAGAAAAACACATTTTTTGTCCCTTCCTCAATGCATATATCACATTGAGAAGGGATGAAAATGTTCATGGGCCCAACATTTCTTCTATTGTGTATTTCATATTTCACAGTTACCATATTTCATTTTGTATTTCATATTTCACAGTTATCAGAGAGTCCATATTTTTCTGTTTCCTTTTTTGTTTTCTTATTTTTTGTTTATATTTTCTTTTGTTTCATGATCCTTGTGCTACACAACTGGGTTCTTATAACTGAACACTTATAGCTGAGCACATGTGGTTTTTTCAAACATTATATAACCTTAAATATATCCCCCAAGGTGTATTTTTCCTCATGCCTTACCATTCTCTAGAATGCTTCTTCTAATTTTAATGTACTTCTACATTTTGGAAATTATTTTTTAAAGAAAATGTTCTTTATAGAATTTATTTAAAATAGTCCATTTAATTGCATGTATGCCTGCCTTTTAAGAAGGCAAAAGTGAAAGCTATCAAACTTCTGAAGGCCTGATCCCAGAACTGAATCAGTAGAAATAATCTACTATCATATACTGGTCAAAGCAAGGACAATTCCTGCCCAGATTTAAGGTGAGGGGAAAAAAAGATTATTTTACTTGTTAGGAAACAAAAAATGTTTTCCATCTTTGATCTAATTCAAGTAATTCAAGGAGATGAGAGGGTTCATAAAGTGGAGCTCTGAACTTTAAGACATAAATAACTTTAGGCAAGATTGTGTGTGTATGTTAGTATATTATTCCGTTTTCATGCTGCTGATAAAGACATACCTGAGACTACATAATTTACAAAAGAAAGAGGTTTAATGGATTTACAGTTCCACATGTTCAGGAAGGCCTCACAATCATGGCGGAAGGTGAACGGCATGTCTCACATGGCAAAATATAAGAAAAGAGAGCTTGTGAAGGAAACTCCCACTTTTAATACCATCAGATCTTGTGAGACTTATTCACTTTCACGAGAAGAGTACAGGAAAGACCCGCCTTCATGATTCAATTACCTCCCACAAGCTTCCTCCCATGAGATTCAGAAACTGTGGGAGTTACAATTCAAGATGAGATTTGGGTGGGGACACAGCCAAAACCATATCATTTAGTTAATGATAGCTACATTTTATAATGAATACATAACTTTTATGATCCTTCATCCCATGAATTAAAAAATATTTTTGAGTACACACTCTAATATTTAAGAATTATACATGTATTTTATCAGTCATTAAATTTTCAATGTTCATATATCACATAGAAAATGATTAATTGTATTATATATAAGTCAACATTATAAATAATTGTATTAATTACATCAAAATTGTCAGTCTGACTTTATTTCCGGTCTGCCTGGATCTCCACGGTTTTGACCTAATAACATGACTGATTAAGCTGTTTTAGCAGAGGAATGGGAAGGGATTTTTCCATCTCTGTTGGTGTTCACTTCTACACATATCATTAGTGTTACCTTTAATCTCAGGTTTATTTGCAGAGATATTTCTCAGCTATTTATTCATTTTTTTGAGCATTAGTTTGGTGTAAAATTAATATTATAAAATACAGATCCCTTTAACTGGCCAAATGTAAACTAAAAGTCACTGCAATGTGTTGAAAGCAAACAGACAAGAGAGAAGGCTGCTTGTGATGCTTAATTTTATTTGACAGCTTGACTGATTTAAGGCATGTAGAAAGAGCTGGTAAAACATTATTTCTGGGTCTGTCTAAGAGAGTGTTTCAAAAAGAGACTAATATTTGAATCAGAAGACTGAGTGAAGAAGATCTGCTCTTACCAATATGGGCAGGTATCATCCAGTCCATTGAGGGCCTGAATAGAACAAAAAGGCAGAGGAAGGATGAGTTCTCTCTTCTTGAACTGGAACGTCCATCTTCTCCTGCCATCAAACATTACAGTGCTTAGTTCTCAGGCTTTCAGATTCTGAGACTTATACCAATGACTCCCCTGGTTCTTAGGCCTCTGGACCTGATAAAAAATGCACCACCAGTTTTTCTGGTTCTCTAATTTGCAGAGAGTAGATGCTCTTAGCATTCATAACAAATGATATCGCTTGGCTGTGTCACCACCCAAATCTCATTTTGAATTCCTATGTGTTGTGGGAGGGACAAGGTGGGAGGTAATTGAATAATGGGGCCAAGTCTTTCCTGTGTTGTTATTGTGATAGTGAATAAGTCTCACAAGATCTGATGATTTTTTTTTAAAAAGAGGAGTTCCCCTGCACAAGTGTTCTCTCTTTGCCTGCTGCCATCCATGTAAGATGTGGGTTGCTCCTCCTTGCCTTCCACCATGATTGTAAAGCTTCCTCAGCCACGTGGAACTGTAAGTCCAATTAAACCTTTTTCTTTTGAAAATTGCCCAGTCTCTGGTATGTCTTTATCAGCTGTGTGAAAATGAACTAATACAGTAAATTGGTAACAGGAGTGGGGTGTTGCTGAAAAGAGACCCAAAAATGCAGAAACGACTTTGGAACTGGGTAACAGGCAGAGATTGGAACAGTTTGCAGGGCTCTGTAGAAGATAGGAAGATGCGAGAAAGTTTGGAACTCTCTAGAGACTTACCGAATGGCTTTGACCAAAATGCTGATAATGATATTAATGATGAAAACCAGGCTGAGGTGGTCTCAGATAGAGATGAGGAACTTGTTGGTAACTGGAGCAAAGGTGACTCTTGTTATGTTTTAGCAAAAAGACTGGCAGCATTTTGCCCCTGCCTTAGATATTTGTGGAACTTTGAACTTGAGAGATGATTGAGGTTATCTGGTGGAAGAAATTTCTAAGTAGCAAAAGCATTCAAGAGGTGACTTGGGTGCTGTTAAAGGCATTCAGTTTTATTAGGGAAACAGAGCATAAAAGTTCAGAATATTTACAGCCTGATAATTTGATAGAAAAGAAAATCTCATTTTTTGAGGAGAAATTCAAGCTGGCTGCAGAAATTTGCATAAGTAACGAGGAGCTGTATGTTAATCCTGTAGATAATGGGAAAAACGTCTCCAGGACATTTCAGAGGTCTTCATGACAGCCCCTCCCACCACCAGCCTGGAGGCCTGGGGAGAAAAGATGGTTCTGTGGGCTGGGCCCAGGATCCCCATGCTTGTGCAGCCTTGGGACTTGTTGCCCTGTGTCCTAGCTGCTCCAGCTGTGGCTGAAAGGGGCCAACATAGAGCTCAGGCCCTGCTTCAGAGGGTGTAAGCCCCAAGCTTCAGCAGCTTCCACAAAGTATTGAGCCTGTGAGTGCTCAGAAGTCAAGAATTGAGGTTTGGGAAGCTCCACCTAGATTTCAGAAGATGTGTGGAAATGCCTTGTATGTTAAGGCAGAAGTTTGCTTCAGGGGCAGGGATCTCATGAAGAACCTCCACTAGTGCAGTGCAGGAGGGAAACTTGGGGTCAGAGCCCCCACACTGAGTCCCTACTGGGGCACCACCTAGTGGAGCTGTGAGAAGAGGGCCACCATTTTACAGACCCCAGAATGGTAGATCCACCAACAGCTTACACAGTACCTCTGGAAAAACTACAGACACCCGACCCCAGCCCATGAAAGCAGCCAGGAGGGGGCTACACTCTGCAAAGCAACAGGGGTGGAGTTGTCCAAGGCTGTGGAAGCCCACCACTTACATCAGTGTGACCTGGATGTGAGACATGGAGTCAAAGGAGATCATTTCAGAGCTTTAAGATTTGACTTTCCTGCTGGATTTTGGACTTGGGGGCCTGTAGACCCTTCGTTTTGGCCAATTTCTCCCATTTGGAATGGCTGTATTTATCCAATGCCCGTATCCCCACTCTATCTAGAAAGTAACTAGCCTGCTTTTGATTTTACAGATGCATAGGTGGAAGGAACTTGCCTTGTCTCTGGTGAGACTTTGGACTGTGGACTTTTGAGTTAATGCTGAAATGGGTTAACACTTTGGAGGACTATTGAGAAGGCATGAATTGTTTTGAAATGTGAGGATGTGAGATTTGGGAGAGGTCAAGTGCAGAATGATATGGTTTGGCTGTGTCTCACCCAAATCTCACCTAGAGATGGGATCTCACTATGCTATGCATGCTGGTCTCGAACTCCTGACACAGGTGATCTGCCTGCCTCAGCCTCCCAAAGTGCTGGGATTATAGGCATGAGCCACCATGCCTGGCCATAGATCTCATCTTAAATTCCCACATGTTGTGGGAGGGACCATGTGGGAGATAACTGAATAATGGTGGCAAGTCTTTCCGTTGCTGTTCTCATGACAGTGAATAATCTCACGAGATATGATGGTTTTAAAAAGCAGAGTTCCCCTGCAGAAGCTCTCTCTCTCTTTGCCTGCTGCCATCCATGTAAGAAGTGACGTGCTTTTCCTTGCCTTCCACCATGAGTGTGAGGCTCCAGCCACGTGGAACTGTAAGTCCAATTAAACCTTTTTCCTTTGTAAATTGCCCAGTCTTGGGTATGTCTTTTCACCAGTGTGAAAATGGACTAAAACAACAAATTTGCATAATCAATCAGCCAATTGATTGACAGAATCAATCCCTCTCTCTCTCTCTTTCTTTCTCACTGTCAGTACTAATATGTCCTTATAGCCTATTTGTTTTGTTTCTCTAAAGAACTCTGAATAATACACTGCTGCTTATCCCTTCACACTGTACACTTGTCACATCTCCCTCAAGATTCCTTGCTTGTCCCTAAAACATACAGAGACACAGTGTCAGTCAGTATATAAAGCATTAGCTAAGTTTACTTTTGTATTATTTTATTTAAAAATAAATATAAAGTTTGAATAGGAGTGGTAATAGCATGGGTCTATGCCCCTAAAACGTTAAAGCTTAAGATCTGTGCATTTCACTATATGTAAATTGAATCAATCATAAAGAAAAATAAATTTATACCTTTTATTCTCAATTCTATTTTAGGGGTTACCCCAGTACACAATAGATAAAATTTTGTCTAGATAATTGGGCAATAAAAGTAGCGTTTTAGAAAGTTTCCTTCAGTGATTATAAGGGAATGGAATGTCAGAAGATATTAGGAGGCTATCACCGTGGTACAAGTATGAAATGACAAGGGTCTAAGTAAGGTAAGAGATTAGGACTATGAAAAAGGAACACATCAGAGAGACGTTCTAAGGTAAGGAAGAATCACTTGGAAAATGTGTAGAGAACTGGCTAGTGAAAGTAACTTGGGGATTTGAATCTACGTAGTCAGAAAAAATGTTGGTTCTATTAGTAATAACATAGTTTCTGAATTTTGTAATTATTTTTATGTTTAAATAACAGATATGAACGTATCATGTACCATGAAGAGGTGGTTTTCAAACTTTAAAGGATACAAGAATTCAGTGAGATTGTTCAAAGTGCATTCTCTTGACCTCCCTTTTCAGAGCTTCTGATTCAGAAGATCTGGGACAAGAACTCGGTCTTTCTAGTGTAGGTATACCTGAACTATACAATCAGAAGCATTGTCATAAATATGCATAGGAAAAGCAACCCAATAAAATCTTTGGTAAAGATTTTTTGAAGTTGAGATATTGGCTACTAAGATAAGAATTTTAGTTTTCCCTAATAATATGTAAAAATGGATTTAAATTATTTTGGTGGCTATTACACAGTTATTAAAAACATTTTCGATAAGAAAATGAAGTTCGTTATTTATAACAAGTAGCTGAAAAAGAAGTTTTGCAAAGGAGACAGATTTAGAACTAATGATTTTTGGAAGCTGTAAAAGCAGGACAAAGGTAGTTTACTTTTTGCATTTAGAATTATCAAAGAATGCACTAAGAGAACATATTAGCTGAAAAGAAAAAGTGCTAAAGTTAAAATTAATGGAAGAAAATAATGAGAAATTAGAGGTAATTTTTCTAATATATGTTTGAACCTAGGGATAACTTGATACAAAAACAAATGTGTTGTTAGGGCATAGATGAAAATAATGGTTAAAATTATCAACAAAATTTTAGTTATGTAAAAGGGGTAGCAGGTGAATTTAATGTCAGAGGAATGGAATATTAATATAATTAATCCCAAGATCAAATAAGGGAATGACTAAAAAGAAATAAAACCCAGAGCTTCAGAGATGGTTCAGAAGCAGCTATATTTTTAGATGAATTAAGCTTTGCTAAATAGAGTTTATATTACATTTTCTAAGTGGGATAAATAAGGGATTCTGTAGGGACCTTGAACTTAGACATGTGTTTCTATTCTCGTACAATGTTTTTACATTTCAATACCTTGGCTTCTGCAGGGTATCCAGCATTCATGGTTCATTAAAAGGTTTTCACAAAAAAATTACCTGGAGAGATAAGTTACATGTTATAATTGTTTTTGTTCTACCAAAGGAAATTGTGGGTGTTTTCATTAGCAGTGTTTTATTGAAACTGACTATAATTTCTATATATCTACAATGTCAAAATCTGAGGAATTACCACACATCTTCATGGCACCCAGAAGACAGTGTTCTCTTTTATTTCTGTGTTAATCAGCTTACTAATTTTATATGTAAAGATAAACATTTTCAGTGGTGAAGGGAAAAATTTGATACTGTATTTTTTGAGGTAGTGCTCCTTTGAAGTATATTAGATGTGCATTTTCAAATGTATGAAGCATTAAAAACAAATGTTTTCCTGAATGGGCCTCTTTGGGTAAAAAATACAGAGGTGAACTTAAGTTCATCTTGGCGTTTAAGGAAATTTATTGAAAGGACTTTGTTTTCTTCCAGAATTCAAGGAACTGTCAAAAACAATAACATTTTAAGAAGCAGAAACAGGAATTTCAAGATGAGGGATTAGAGGGCCTTTCCTCTAGATGCCCATTATTTTTGTGGTACAGATTGTACATCCATCTTCTGATTCTTTGCTCTAAATAAAAATTATTGAAAGATTAAGTGGTAATTATATAGTTTAGGTCAGGCATCCACATTTCCTTCAATTTACTATATGTAGGGAATCAGAAGTATTATGCTAATAAATGATAGGCAAATACAGCTATGAGAAAAAACTGTTAAGGTATAAACACTTCAAAAATAATATGAAGCAAAAGACAATTAAAAGAAGGAAAAGTTAATCTTTACAACCAACATTGCAGAACAATTGGACAGCCATATGTAAACAAATAAACTTCAATCCGTACCTCACACTATCTATAGAAACCAACTTGAAAGACTTTCTATACATAATGTAAGAGCTAAAACTATAAAGCATCTAAAAGATAATATTGGTAAAGATTTTTATGACCTTAGGGTTGGCAACAATTTCTCTTTTTTTTTTTTTTTTTTTTGAGACGTAGTTTTGTTGCCCAGGCTGGAGTGCAACGGCACAATCTCGGCTCACCACAACCTCCACCTCCCAGATTCAAGCAATTCTCCTCCCTCAGCCTCTCGAGTACCTAGATTACAGGCAAGTGCCACCATGCCTGGCTGATTCTCTATTTTTAGTAGAGACGGGGTTTCTCCATGTTGGTCAGGCTGGTTTCAAACTCCCGACCTCAGGTGATCCCCCCACCTCAGCCTTCGAAAGTGCTGGGATAACAGGCGTGAGCCACTGTGCCCGGCTGGCAACAATTTCTTAAATGTAACAAATGCAAATCTATAAAAGAAAAAATTTAAAATTTGACTTCATCAAAGTAAAAACGCATTTGCTTTTCAAAAGGCACTGACAATAGACTGAAAAAGAACTGACAGAAAAGGAGAATGTATTTGCGAAATGTATCCAACAAGTGACTTGTTTGGGGAATATATGAAAACACAATTTAATAAAAATGAGACAATTATAAAATGGCAGAAAGTTTTAACAAATTATTACAGATTTATAAACAAAATAAGAATATGAAAAGTTGCTCAATGTCATTAGCTAATTGGGAAATGCAAATTAATACCTCAATGAATATCACTACATACACACCAGAATGGCCAAAATTTAAATGACTGACAATATCAAGTGTTGGTGAAAATGTGGAAGATCTGAAATGCTCATACATTGCTGGTAAGAATGTAAAATGGTACAGACACATTGGAAAAATAATTTGGCAATTTCTTTAAAAGTTAAACATTACTCAACAATGAAAATATAATATTATTGATACACAGCAACTTGGAGGAATCTCTAATGCTTTATACTGAGTTGAAAGAAGCCAGTCTCCAAATCTTTATACTACACAATTCCATCTAAATGTCATTCTCAAAAAGATGAAAGTACGGTGGTGATGAACAAATCAGTCATTGCTAAAGATTTAACTTTGGGGAAGGAAAACACAAAGTAGTTATTTGATCATAAAACCATTCTATATCCCGATTGTGGTATTGACTACACAAACCTATACGTAACTGAAAATTAACAGACTTGTTCCCTGCCCAAAAATTCTTAATAAAACATTTAGACATAGACATATCATATGGCCTAGCCATTCCACTCCTAGATATTTGCTCAAGATAAATGAAAGCATAGATTCATTCAGAGAGGTATACAGGAAAGTTCATAGCATCTTTATTTGTGGCTGGAGGCAACTCAAGTGTTCATCAATGTATGAATAGATAAATGAGTTGTAGCATATCCATACAATAGAATAACACCTAGGCAATAGAAATAAATAAACTATTGATAAATGAAACAACATGGACTTCAAAATCATTATGCTAATTGAAAGAAGCCAGACACACCTACGAAAAGAATATATACTGTAAGGCCAGGCAGGGTGGCTCATGCCTGTAATCCCAGCACATTGGGAGGCCGAGGCCAGTGGATCACCTGAGGGCAGGAGTTCGAAACCAGCCTGGCCAACATGGTGAAACCCCGTCTCTACTACAAATACAAAAATTAGCTGGGCGTGGTGGTGGGCACCTGTAATCCCAGCTACTCTGGGGGTTGAGGCGGGAGAATTGCTTCAACTCAGGAGGCAGAAGTTGGAGTGAGCCAAGACAGCACCATTGCACTCCAGACTAGAAAAAAGAGCAAAACTCTTTCTCAAAATTAAAAAAAAAAAAAAGAATACATACTATATAAATGATCCCATTCCTATTATGCTGACAGACAGAAAGTGATCAGTGTTTGCATAGGGTGAGAAATATGAATGGGGAGAGAAAGGAGACATTGTCATAAGGAAATTTCTGGCAATTATGGATAGGCTTACTATCTTAGTCATGGTGATACTATCTTGATCAACACGTGTAATTAAAATTCTACATTTTAAATATATGAAGATAATTGTGTAGCATTTTTTCTTTATCCTACAGAAAACCCGTAATCTTCAAAATTGTAAACTTTTCACCAAGGGATTAATTTAGGTTGCCATTTCCTCTATAATACTGAAAAAGTGAAAAACGTAGAATTTTCTTAGCATATATAAAAATTAAAATAAATGTTTTGGCAACCACTAATTATGTTGGCTCTAATAATTATAATGCTGAAATTCACCGTATTATTTATAATTGTGATAATAAACATAGTTATCAATTTTACATCTAAATTTAGGCAATCAAAGCTGTTTCTAAAGAACCTCCCCAGTAGGTGGGACTACAGGTGCCCACAACCTCGCCCGGCTAATTTTTTGTTTCTAAAGAACAGCTTTAGGTTGACTGTAAACATTGTGTATAATGAAAGCACAAACATTAAGTGTTCTTAGTCCTCGCTGGAAAAGCATTACACTTTTAAGAAATGCAGGGAAATAAATTTCACTTGGTTTTACTCTTTGTCCAAGGAGATGTATTTATTTTACTTATTTATTTATTTATTTATTTATTTATTTATTTATTTATTTATTTTGAGACGGAGTCTCGCTCTGTCGCCCAGGCTGGAGTGCAGTGGCGCGATCTCGGCTCACTGCAAGCTCCGCCTCCTGGGTTCACTCCATTCTCCTGCGTCAGCCTCCGGAGTAGCTAGGACTACAGGCGCCCGCCACCACGCCCGGCTAATTTTTTGTATTTTTAGTAGAGACGGGGTTTCACCGTGTTAGCCAGGATGGTCTCGATCTCCTGACCTCGTGATCCGCCCGTCTCGGCCTCCCAAAGTGCTAAGGAGATGTATTTTTTAATTGCTAGTTATACTCTTGTTGAGTTGATATTCTGTAAGGATGTCTAAAAACCAACCTTCCAGAAACAGATGGCCGATGAAGCCAAAGTGTCTAATTCACTGAACTCAGGCTATATAGCATAACAGGAAAGAGTTTACACTCTGAATTTAGATACCTTGACTTCTGACCTAGTCATTTACTAGCCGTGAGAGTTCAGAATATTTTACTTAACTTCTGTGAGTGTTGGTTTCTTCACAGATCAAGCAATAAATATCTTTCCCATAAGATTGTTTTGAAACTTAGATGAGATAGATCATTTACAAATAAAGAGATTATAACATTTTCACCGTAGTAACTAGTTAACAGCTAGTAAGTATTACTCTCTGGGAAATGAAAATCTTTCCCAGCTCAGCGGCTATTATTCAATTATCTTCACCATTTTGGGTTCATTCTTCCAGGAGCCCTGCTCCATTCTATGCTGATGAAAGCTAGGGTAAAAGCAAACCAAAGCAAATGATAAATTATATTGCATTTTTGAAAACTCTTATTTAAAAATATATAAAATAAGAGATAGTAAATAAAATCACCATTTGGCATCACTTAGTTTCAAGAATTATGAAGACTTGGCCAAACTTATTAAAATATATATGTCTATCAATTTTTTTCCTCATTATTTTGAAAAAATATATAATTTTAATCCACAAATATTTGAATTTATGCTTATAAAATAACTATTTTTAGAGCATTCTGACAATATCATAGCACAAATAAAAAGTATAACAATCCTTATTTAATATTAAATATCAGTCAGTGTTTATTTTCACTTTCTCACAAATATTATTTTTGTTTTTTAGTTTCTTTTCTGTTTTTTTGTTTTTGTTTTTCTCGGAAAGGGAGAGATGCAAGGGGACCAGAATTCATGTAAGTTCACACGTTGGGATTGATAATTCTCCTAAGTCTCTTTTTTTTTTTTTTTTTTTTTTTTGAGATGGAGTCTTGTTCTGTTACCCAAGCTGGAGTGCAGTGGCGGGATCTTGGCTCACTGCAAGCTCCACCTCCCAGGTTCGCACCATTCTCCTGCCTCAGCCTCCCGAGTAGCTGGGACTACAGTCACCCGCCACCAAGCCTGGCTAATTTTTTTTTGTATTTTTAGTAGAGATGGGGTGTCACCGTGTTAGCCAGGATGGTCTCGATCTCCTGACCTGGTGATCTGCCCGTCTCGGCCTCCCAGAGTGCTGAGATTACAGGCATGAGCCACCACGCCCAGCCTCTCCTAAGTCTCCTTTTTTTTTTTTTTTTTTTTGAGACAAAGTCTCGCTCTGTCACCCAGGCTGGAGTGCAGTGGCACAATCTCAGCTCACTGCAAGCTCAGCCTCCTTGGTTCACGCCATTCTCCTGCCTCAACCTCCCCAGTAGCTGGGACTACAGGTGCCCACCACCACGCCCGGCTAATTTTTTGTTTTTTTTTTGTTTTTTTTTTTTTTTTTTAGTAGAGACAGGGTTTCACCATGTTAGCCAGGATGGTCTCGATCTCCTGACCTTGTGATCCTCCCGCCTCGGCCTCCCAAAGTGCTGGGATTACAGGCGTGAGCCACTGCGCCCAGCCCTAAGTCTCTTTTAATCTACAGTGGTTCTCTTTCCATTTATTTTTAAATTGTTTTCTTGTGATTCATTTATTGAGAAGTCAAGTTGTTTATATTATAGAGTTTCTCGTCATCTTGATTGTACTTTCCTTGGTTTAATTTTACATGTTACTCTGTCCCATGTTTCCTATAAATTTTGACACTTAATCAAATAACATATTTTGTTTGTTTCTTTGTTGGGTTTTCTCAAAACTGTTTCATAGGTGGTATAATAGTCTGCTTGCACTACCATTAAGAAACACCCTAGACTGAGTAGCTTAAGCAACAGAAAGGTGTTTTCTCACAGTTCTGGAGGCCTGAGATCAAGGTGCTTTCATGGTTGGTATTTGATGAAGCTTCTCCAGCTGCTTTCTTGTGTCTTCACATGGCCTTTCCTCTGTGTGCCCTTGGACAGAGAGAGAGGGAAGAGATAGAAAGAAAGAGAGACAAAGAGAACACCAGTCCCATCAGATTTAAGAGCCCACCCATATAGACTCATTTAATCTGATTACCTTCTTAAAAGGGTCTATCTCTCTATAATGGTCACATTGGGAGTAAGGGCTTCAACATAAAATTGTTAATGGTGAGGGGGACAACTCAGGCCATAGCAGATGATGTTGAATTAATTCTTCTATTGAGTGGTATGTATGTGGCTTTATCTCTTTTTTTGTGATATTAGCAGCATTTAGTGCTCAATGCCATGATCCATTCATTTATGAGGGGTTGTAAAATGATGGCACTCTGATACTATTACTCTTCTTAAATTATTAGCTGAAATAGTTTCTTAATGAGACACTTTTTAATCAATTATTTGTTTACCCCATGTTAAGCTCATATGGAAAAAGCATGCTCTGTTTTCTTATTTTCTAATTTACAAAATATTTCTCTAGCATGCTCCAAAAGTGATCAATACGTTATTTTGCAACACTCGTAAACTTATGAATTTAAACATATTTGATCTGTTTCAAATCATTACTGATATGATCCTTATTGATGCTCAAATTGTCTTATCTTTAGCTTAAAAAACAAAAAAACAAAAAAAAGCCTTTTGGCTCTTGAAAACTTTTCAAATCAGTTTAGTAGTCTCGGAATTCTTTCTTGCTACTTAGTGTGAGCAGATGTTTCACAGCTATTTGTTGATTTTCTGCCCTGGACCTGAAATCAGCTCTCTCTCTCAGAAATCTTAAGTGCTTTTATTGGTAAATAGTATTTCAAAACCATAGTCTGAACATTAGAAATATTCATCGCTTCTATATTGGCCATTATATATAGTTCTGTGTTTCAGCATTCAGAGCTGTGTTGTATGCATTTTGTTTCTTAAGATAAACTACAACCTGAGTTTAAACTTCCACTGCCAATTCAAAATCAAAACCATAGGTGTTCTATTTTACCTCTTTAATTTTTAATTTCTATCTCTTTATCATCCCCTGCCAAGAATCCAGCTTTCAATACTGAAAAGAATAGAATCAGAATGACACATAATAATGTGCTTATTTATTGTAAAATACTCCTATAACTATCTTGGAATCACAACATACCACCAATATGATTACTGTAGATAGCTTAACTTTTTGAGTTTTGTAATTTCTCTGGTACTTCACCTATATTACACTGTGGGTGTGATGTCAGTACTACTTTTAAAATTCACCTGGGGTAGTTCTTTTTGTTTGTGCTTGTGCCAACAACTAAATATACATTTAGATTGAATTATTTTATTTTATTTTTAGAGAAGTCCTTGAATTTAATTAGTTTTATAATAATATATAACATATGTAGCTCTAAAATGTAAAAAACTTGATATGGGTAATGAAATTTAGTTTCAGTGTTTATCCTCTCCACGTGTTCCCTCTCTTTCTCATAAGTAACAATTTTTTATGTTACAGTCTATCTTCGATTTTTAAATGTGTGTATGTATTCCTTTGTAAATATGCATGTGTATTCTTCTTAAAGGTTAGCATATTATAGGCCCTTGTTTCCAAATTGCTTTTTTTTACTTAATATAGCTGAAAATAACTCCATAGTAATAGCTAAAGATATCTATCATTTATCATTACATTTGAATTATCATCTGCTTTAGGATGTATCACCATTTATTTACCCAGACCACTATTGATGTATATTTAGGTGGTCATTTATCTTCCGTTATTATAAATGGGAAAATGTCCAGATGTGGGATGTATGGGTCAAAAAGTAAACATTAATATTATTTTGGTAGCTTATGTCATACTCTCCTTCATAAATTTTACAACACTTGTATTAACACCACCAGTGTCCAAAGTGTCTGTTTTCCTGCAGGCTCGCCAACAGAGTACAGTCTCCAACTGGGACAACTGCTAATCTAAGTGACTAATGAAATCTTAATGTAGGAATAATTTGTAGTTTTCTTCTTATGTATCGAGATAAGCATCTTTGCTTATCTTTGCTTATGATCTAGAGTCATTTGCCTTTCTCTTTCTGTGAACAGTTTTTTCTCTAGCCCCGAACATTTTGTTTTGTTTTGTGACGGAGTTTGGCTCTGTCGCACAGGCTGGAGTGCAGTGGCACAATCTCAGCTCACGCAACCTCCATGTCTCCCGGGTTCAAGTGATTCTCCTTTCTCAGCCTCCCGAGTAGCTGGGATTACAGGCGTGCGCCATCACGCCCAGCTAATTTTTGTATTTTTAGTAGGGACAGGTTTTCACCATGTTGGCCAGGCTGGTCTCGAACTCCTAACCTCAGATGATCTGCCCACCTCAGCCTCCCAAAGTGCTAGGATTACAGACGTGAGCCACTGCGCCGAGCCAGCCCCACACTTTTTAAATCCCTCACTGGCCCTATTTTTAGCTAATTTATAAACCTATATATATATATTCGGGATATGAACATTTTGTCTGGACATAAATTTCTCTTTTTTTTTTTTTTTTTTTTTTTTCTGAGACGGAGTCTCACTCTGTAGCCCAGGCTGTAGTGCAGTGGTACGATCTCAGCTCACTGCAAGCTCCGCCTCCCGGGTTCACGCCATTTTCCTGCCTCAGCCTCCCAAGTAGCTGGGACTACAGGCGCCCGCCACCAGGCTGGCTAATTTTTTGTATTTTTTTTAGTAGAGGCGGGCTTTCACTGTGTCAGGCAAGATGGTCTGGATCTCCTGACCTCGTGATCCGCCCGTCTCGGCCTCCCAAAGTGCCGGGATTACAGGCGTGAGCCACCGCGCCCGGCCGTCTCGACATAAATTTCAAATGTTTTCTCAGTTTGTCACTTGTGGTTTTACTTTGTTCATTGTGTCTCACCATGCAATTTTGCAATATAGTTAAACTTATCTCTTTTTCTTCCTGACTTCTTGACTTTGAGCCATAGTTAGGAAAGGTTTGCTCACTCTCACATTAGAGTAAAATTTATCCACATTTTCATCTATGACTAGTGCTCATTTTTTTATTATTATGAATATCTTCTTCATTTGGGGTTTGCTCATGTATATTCCATGAAGAATGTATGAAACTCTATGATTTTCTGTATGACTCTCCTATTAGGAGGGATAACTTCTTTATCATATATTGCATTTCATCTATAATTTTGACTATTTGTAGATTTTACAGTCGGTTTTAATGGTGTGAAATATGTTTCTGTTTTTTTTCCCCCTCATTTACTGCCCAGTAGAATTTCCCTTCTTGTCTCAGAGTTGAGGAAAATAAGTAGTAACAATAAGCCCCTTTTTGGATGTGTTTTAACATCTGGCAGCCTGGATTTTTAATAAAAGCTCTGTTTCAGATTGTCCCTTTAACTTAAATAAGTCATTTAATCTCCCCAGTCTCCCAAGTCATGATCTGTAAAATGTAAATGATTTAGTTATTGATGATTAGTTATATAAAGCATTTAGCACAGAGTAGGTTTCCATAATAGGAAGCTATATTATTTTTCTCTTATGGTTATTAATTTTACAAATGTATATACTATACAATTTTATGATTTGACTTCTTCATTTTGGGAAAAGAATGTTGCAGTACACAAAGGAAGATTATACAATTAGAAGACATTTCTTCATGAAGAAATGTATATTGATTATTAAAATACATTAAGAAATACCATCTTGGCTAGGCGTGGTGGCTCACACCTGTAATTCTAGCACTTTGGGAAGCTGAGGTGGGTGTATCACCAGATGTCGGGAGTTCAAGACCAGCCTGGCCAACATGGCAAATCCCTTTCTTTACTAAAAATACAAAAAATAGCCAGGCATGGTGGCACACGCCTATAATCCCAGCTATTTGGGGGCTGAGGCAGGGGAACCACTTGAACCGGGAAGGCAGAGGATTCAGTCAGCAGAGATCAAGCCACTGCACTCCAGCCTGGGTGACACAGCAGGGCTCTATCTCAAAAATAAATACATAAATAAATACCCTGTGTAGACATTAAGAGTATCATCAGAACCTATATTTAATTTACTATGATTAACATTATTAGCTTGATATTAATCTTAAGAAATAATATATGCAACAAAATATGTTCACATTAATTTCCAAGCATCTCACTATTTGGTACAAATTACTAATCATTTATTACAATATATGTTGAAAGACCAAACAGTTATAATTAAGATTTATGCACCATTAAAATAAAATTTCATAATAAAAAATTTACTCTCCCTCCACTTAATGTCTATTTTCATGTGATGAAGATTCAAATTAATTAGAGCCCTCTTAATAAAAAAAATTTCAAAAATCATCCAAACATTTTCCATTTTCTTACTGATATGCTAATTATTAATAACTATATACCACATTTGTGTCTGCTTTCCCTGAACTGCATAATTGTGAAACTTAATTTACTAATGAAATTGTAGCTTTGTTCCTCAGCTGATGAAGGGAAATAGAAAAAGCAGATACACATATTACTTATTGTTCTCAATTATGTACTGAAATCTCAATGTCTTCCAGGGACTCCTGAGGATTACCCACGATTTTTCCATATGCATCCTAGGACAGCAGAACTTAGTCTCCTGGAGCCAGTAAACAGAGACTTTCACCAGAAATTTGATTTGGTTATTAAGGTAAATTAAGCTAATATCTTATTTCCTTGTGTTTATGAACTGCTAATCAGATAAATCTGTAGACGCTACTGTAGGCAGTTTTATGTTATAAAATTAAAATTAATGTGGACAGCAGTCAGTCAATTTTTTGTTAAAAAGAAAATAAGCGAAGCCCACTTTTAATACATGGCATTGCTTTTCTCTAAAATAACGTTTTATAGTACTATGGGGTAAAATACTAAATATTCTTATATGTAACAAATGCCTTGGTCAAGCGTATACAATTCTACACAATTCATTATGTCTTCTAACATTATTTTTCTACTAAAAGGAATTAGCGTTTTACCACAAAAACATGACCAATTAAGACATCTAAAATGTGCTTGATTTATATGTTGTTTTAATTTTGTTTTCATTTTTATTACTTAATTGTATTCTAATGTATTTTTAATGATTTTTCCAACATAAAAATAAGAGGTCTTGCCTATCCAAAGATGCTTTCAATATATGTCTCATTATTTTCTTTATATTGAAAGATGATCTTAGACTTGAAATAATTCAAAGCTAAGCTAATCTATTTGGCATTTCACTTTTGGTTTAATAGTATATCTATATTTTAATATAATCATTAAATAGATACTGAAAAAATGCAGATATTCTTCTAATTAATTTCGATGGACTTCATTGAGATGGTGAGATTTAATCTAAGCAGTGAAGGAAAAACAGGAATTTGCCAGGCAGAGATGGGACTGGGAAAAGGGCATTGTAAGTACAAGAAAAGACAAAAGCAAAGATTCAGCATAAGTTTTGTATATAGTACATAACTCTCTCATATTTAAGCATGCAAAAAAAACCTCTAGAAATGCATCCCGATGGTATTTTTCTTACCTTTTGAAAAATGTAAACATACTAAAGGAAAAGGAAGTAAGGTAGGGAAGCTTACTGAGAATGAACATTGTTTAAGCTGCTTTGTGTGCATTTTTCATTGAACTGTTGCCGCAATTTTAGTAATATTCTCATTTGCACAAAATGGGGAAACTAAAGTTCGGATAAGGTAAGTGATTACCTTAGAGTTACATTACTAATAAGGGGCAGAGTTGAGATTCAAATTTAGTTTTATATACGCTAAAGCCATGCTCTTTTCACTTCACAAATATGCAGATACTTAGAAATGGTTGTCTAGTTTAACAATTAATAGATATGTCCTTAGCACAGAACCTGTGTTTATTCAGCGATCTTTGTCCTTGAAAAAACTTATAGTCTAGAAAGGGAAACAGTCATATAATCAAATAAATCAGATAAAATGCATCAAATGCTAAGAGGAAGACGTGTAAAAAGCGGTAACGACACACAGAATAGGGACATTTAAATTAATCTGGAAACTCAGGGAAGATTTTCTGGAGATCACCCCAAGCTAAATGTTGCTGGATTGAAAGAGTATGGTCAATGAATAAAAGTGGGAAATGATGTTTGAACATAAGGAGGCACAGAAGTAAACGCTTGGAGACATAATGCACAGGCTACAAGCAGTTAACAGGGAAATGAGGTATAGCGTCAGACCACGGAGAGAGCCTGAAGGATGACTACAGTTTCCTGGGATTTCATTTATTAAGGGTTTGGGAGTTATTCAACAAAAAACACCACTTTAACCAGTTGTATTAAATGGCCATGCATGAGATTCACCTTCTTACATTGACTATTTTATGTTAATTATTATGAGAGTATATAAAACTCCACAATGTGTACTGATTTTCTATTGTGGATCTACCTGACTCTTGTGGTGCTGCTTTCTATGGGAATTAAGAAATTTGACAAAGCACTGTTTCCAAACTGTCACATGTGAAACCAAAAATCAATTATTTTCCTTTATTATCGAATTCAGCTGTCCTGGTGTACCTGGGTACAGTGTAACTCAGTCCATCAATTACAGAAAAAAAATCAATTACAATAGGCCACAGATTTTTTTTTTGTTTTAATAGCACTTTCTTTTATTAATGGAAGTTTTAACAGACAATATTAGATTCAAATTACTATGTTTTGTGTGAAGTCAAGGGCATAATAAGCAAAGGTATCTAACTGTAATAATAATGTGCCACCTGCTTGAATAATAACTGAGTATTGTGGCATTGTTCAGGGGACCATTGAAATGCTACAATCTGGCAGTTCTCCTCTATAGTAAATCTTTCAATTTCTTCTCTCTCTCTCTCTTTTTACTTTAATAATACTTCATTTTTTCATTGGCCCTAAAAGTTTTTGTTGGACTAGATCCCAATTTATGTTTCAAAAGCGGAGAAAAAATAAAATGAAGTCTCTTCTCCTACATTTTGAAGAAGAATTCTGCTTTAAAAAGCTATGTGTGTATTTAACAGCTGGTGAGTGCCACAAATTAGAGATTTCTCATGTTCATTTTTTTCTCTTTTTCTCCCAGTGATTTATTCAGCATGCTGACAAATAAAAATGTAAAGGTGTAACTTGGAAGACAAAATGGAATAGTTCACAAACTTTAGACTATGAAAAGATTAAAACATGCAGTTGAAAAAGTTTGTTCCATTCCAAAACACTATCCTAAATTTTATATAATTGTAATCATTTAAGCATACTTTAAAATGTGATATACACTGTGAACAAGAATCATAGATTTGGTTTACCCAGGGCAGTACATGTTTATGTCCATTGTCTTTGTGTAATTATTCATAATACCTCTGTTGCTCTTTTAAATGTCCCAGTTTGGATAAGTTATTTGATCACTACACTCATAAAATAAAAACCACCTGTGATGTAAAAATATGAAAGCACATTTAAGAACTCTGGTAAGAGTGAATTAGTTCACGTGTGGACCATCTATTACAAAGTCCATAAAATCACTTTCAGTATTGTAAGTGAAATATTTTCAAGTATTATTAGTTGATATATTTATACTTCAGGCATCTAATACAAAGCTACTAGTCATTAATTATTAAGGCCAATTAAATGGATAAATTTTGAATAATTTACTGTCTCTCAGTTCTTCAAATAACAATTGCATGTTTTAATCTAAATCCCTTTAATTAACAACGAAGAGCAAAGATCACAATGAAATTAGAAGCATAATTGTTTCATGTTTCCTCTGATTTTCATGTTGTTACTCACTGACCTACTTATTCTATCTAGCATGCTGCCTTTTAACTTCTTTTCCTTCCAACTCATGAGCTCACTAACCCTGAGCTCTCACTAGTTAACTTGCACACCCTCTGTTCCAAACATACTAAACCGCTTCCAGTGCCCTCAACTGACCATGCTCTTTCTGACATCTAAGCATTTAGAGATACTCTCCCTCTTCCTGAATCATTCCTCCCTCTTCTTGTCAACAGTCTAATTCAAACTGATGTTTCAGTTTTTAACTAAGAAGACATTTGCCCTCGAAAGGCATAGCCACTGTTAGGAAGCTGCTTTTTTGCAGCCTTTTGGCCCCTAAAGTGGCCCCAATTACTCTATTGAATGTACCTGTTTATTTTCTCCCAACTTTTACAGGAGGGCAGATTGCAAAACATTTATTTACACTGCATCCCATGCCCCTACACCTACCTATATACAGCACATAGAAGCTGCTTAATAAACATTTGTTGTAATTATTTTCTCCCTGGCACAGTAAATCTTTTCAGACTGCTGAATCTGTGTACCTACGTCTTCACTCTATCTAAATACTTACATGTGAATGTGTGTGCATTTGATACAATTTGATCTTGCATCTCTGTCCAGAAAAAAAAAAGATGCAAATGTAGCAAATAGATTTCCACATAAATTCAATGCCTAGAAAAAATGTCACACCTTTGTTATGGCACAACTAAAGCTACTTATGACTGCGTCAAAAAATGTGTTTCTTCTAAAGAAAAATTACATATTTGCCATAGAAAATTAGCCAGGGAATTAAAACTAGTGAGCTTGATTCTTAGTGCTGATGTGCCTGATGCCCTGGCAAGGTGTCATCCTTCAGTAATTTGAGAGTTACAGGAAAACAGCATTTGAGAAATGATTGAGGGCTAAGAGGAGGACAGCTACTACAACCCCTGTCCCTACATGAATCACTAATGTCATAACTCTAGAAAATGTTTAGTCACTATTTGAGTAATGATAAAAATCATATTTTACTTCATAGAAATTTAAGAGAACACCCTGATTCAATGATTTTAAAGCATATGACATTTGCTAGTTTTCAATTTCCCTAATCCTTGTTGAATGCTTCTCAGGTGCCTGGCATTTTTCTTGGTCTGAGGAGACATATTTTACTTCTGATGCCTACGGACATCTTTTCAATTATTGGTTGGATAACTACTCCTAGTATTATTTAATTGTGACAAATTAAAAATATAGCAAACTATATACATCCTTTAAAAATTCCAAACCTTCTATTTTCTATTCCCTTTTTCAGTTAATCATATTTTAGTTGGTCACCCACTCAAGCTAGACACTTCCACTTCCTCAAAGGTCTCTTCTCTCGTATGTTCCCACTCAGTCACTCATAGAATCCCTTCCTGATACCTTTGAAATCCTCTTGAATATCTCAACTCTGCTCATCTACTGCAATTCTTTATTTCGCATTCTCTTGGCCCATGATCTTACACAAGCAGTCTCTAAAATCATGCTTCATTTCTGTGCATCTTGTCCATCTTTTCACACTGCCAACAGAGTATCGCTAAAACAACAAAAAATAGATCATGCTGCTGCATGTTGCCTTCAAGCCAATTTACAATTTGCCCCCTACCTGAATTTCCCACAGAGATGTTGTCAAGTTGAAAGATCACAGGTGTCTAAGTCAGGCAGAGTAGCAAGTCAAAGATCATCAGTCATCACTTCTCAAAATGAAAAAGATGGAACCTACCGTGAAAATGAAAAAGCTAATAAAATTAATTAAATCTGTTATGGAGATGTGAAATATAAGTTATATTCTTTCTACTCTAATGTGTATATCATCAGTTTTCAAACAAAAGAGAGAGAGAGAGGAAAAAAAAAGACAAGAGATGGAAACGATTGGCACTCCTTTAAGGTGAGGTTGAACAGGGTCCATAGTGACCCAGAGTTAGGACAAGAGAAAAAACATCAGGGCTGCTATTGCCAAGCTACAAGAAGGAAGACAAATGCTACAAATGACATATCTTCTATATCTGGAAATATTCTAGCAATATATTCCTACTCTTATTCTTATGGCAAGAATGAAACACACACAAACACACATGCACACGCACACGCACACACACACAGACACGTACTAGTCAGTTCAGGCCACTCTAACAAAGTACAAAAGACTGGGTGGATTATAAACAACAGAAATATATTTCTCACTCTTCCGGAGGCTGGAATTTCATACTCAATATGGTCGGGTTCTAGTTAGGTTCCTTTTCTGGGTTGCAGATTGCCAAATTCTGTTTGTATCTTCACTTGGTGGAAAGAGGATGAGAGGATGAGAGGGTGAGAGGGTGAGAGAGCTTTCTGGGGTACCTTTTGTAAGGACACTAACTACTTTTATGAGACCTCTATTCTCATGACTTAATTACCTCTCCTAATTGCATTACATTGTGGATTAGGATTTCAACATATGAATTTGGAGAGATACAAATATTAAGTCCATTGCACACCACACCTCAGTTCAGTAGGTTACTAAATAATATAATAAGTTTATCTTTTCTACCCCAATAGCCAGGTCTCTAAGGTAAGGCAAAGTAAATATCTCTTACACATTTTAGAGAAAATCACCCCACAGAAATTTCAGGCATTACTTGTTATTAGTAATGAAATAGCAATCTTTCCATGAATTTCCAACAAATATTACAATTTCTGAAATCAATTGACCTTTGATACACTAAGTGTTCGTATTTTAATTTTGTGTTCTCCTTTTTTTTAAACTTAGCAGATTGCCACACAAAGCATAATTTTTGTCATGATATGTCATAGCATCCAACTAACAAAAGGGGATGTTATCAACTGGCTTAAAAATGGAGGGCCAAGAAGAATTTGGGAGAAAACTATATTCCACGAGACTCTCTATATAAGATCACTAATGCTTCTAATTAATGATGAAGAAAAGCCTTTATGTTAGGAAATTTGAACATATCACTAAATAAGAGGGAATGGTTAAGACAAATGACTATATCTGTTTTACCTTAAGTGTAACAGAGTAAGTAAATGAGCTCAGAGGTATAATATGAAATTTAATCTGCCTAAGGATAAAGTGATACACTTGGATAGAACTAAGGGATCAAATGCCAGAGAAGGCAGCTAAGAGTATCCTTCAGGTTTTCTGCTACAGTGTGACGTTGTACACCACCTCCCACCAGAGAGTTCCTCCACAGGGTGCCTGATACCATATCCAACAACACATCATGAGAACAGCAACAATTTGACTCAGATAACATACTGAGATACATCACAGAGGATGTAGAAGCTCAAAAAGAAGTCAGTCTAAAAACTTTACCTTTTACAACTTTTGTTTTAATGAGTTAAGTTTAATCAAAGCAAAAATATTGCCGAAGAGCAACACTACCATTACTAGGAAATAATAAATAATACCAAAACACACACACACACACACACACACACACACATACACACACACACAAAACAAAACAGTATTTGTGTTTCTTCAGAAAGAACACCGTGTGTTTTTATTTTCCACTGGTTTGTCTCTAACAATTCTAAGTACTGGCCTAAATTAATTAACTATTATGCCAATTATGGAAGCTAATAAAAGGAAAGGAAGTATGATGTCCTCTTGTCTCATATCGTTATTCATGCAGCAGTGTTAGAACAGAAATAGAATGTAGCAGTTGAATATAGTGGCTGTCAAAAAGCACAAACTGACAAAAGACACACAGAGGTGACATTTTATTTGGCCTTTTTTCTTCCTCACAAGGTGACCTGTAACTGCTTGGGAAGAAGAAAGGCAATTTATCCATTCTCATCAGAGTACCTTGCTTTTTGCCAAGGCCTTCTTGTCTGCAAAGGTCATTGTAAGAGTACAAGAGCAAGACCAAACATTGTAAAATGTTCAAAGGAAAGGCACTTTCTGAACCCTTGTCACGTCTCCCCACTCTGCAATCCCCACACACATAAACATCCTTAGCACTCTATCACATATGTTCCCGAGTAATCGTTCTTCATAGGTTTCTTGGTTCCATAGAAATATAACAATGAAAGAGCATATTGAAAAACTTGTAGGCTAAAACTCTTTGTTATTTTTTGTCTCAAGAACGGTCCAGTAGGTGGAGGAGAAATATTGACCTCTCACCCTCAATACCTTCTAGGCTCTGAAAAATAAACGATTTAGATATAATTTTTATGTTAATGATTTTTTAAAATTTGCTTATTACAAAATACATTATTCTGGTTGGCTAATTCATAGAAGGTACTTTAGTGTGGTTTTCTCTTGGTTGACAAAAAACTGGGAATGGGATCAGACCTCAGTGTAGGATAAGATGGCTTTGCTGGTTGGAAGGCAAAAGGCAGGATAAAATAATAAAAATAAAACATAAGTTGGAAGATTCACAGAAAAAAAGTTACCCCTTTATCACTATCAGAATTTTATATCTGGCTGACCTTGCTGTTTATACCCAAGATGATTCTCACGTTCCAAACACCAGCTAAATAGTTCAACATGTCGGTGATAAGTGAGAGTTTTCAGAATCTGTGGTCTTCCCCAGAGTGGCAAGGTTATTTTTTCTTTAAATCATTCAAAATCCTTTTAGTCATTCCAGTGTCGATTTGTATCTCATGCTCTAAGCAAAAAGAAAGATTTTTATCATTGAAAGGTATACAAGAGCTTTGAGGATTCATGTGTTCGTTGTAACAAGTTATAAACAGAATGGGCATATTCTTACTTGAAGTGAAGATAGAAAGTATTTCGTTTTATTAAAAATATTCCCTAGGTGTGAAATGTGTCAGTATTATTTCGTCGTTATATTACAAGGCTTTATAAAATATGTGCTGCCTATATTCTATCTAGTGAAGTTTCTTTTCCTTTTTGTCATACAAAAAAAGGTATTTGTTTCCAACCAAGAATATACTCTTTTGCTGTATAGCCTTGCAAACAAACTTTACAGCATACAACAGTTATTTGTATTTTATCTCATGAATTTTATAGGTTTTTGAATTTATTTATAAGTTTTTGAGTATGTTTAGTAATAGTAATAAATTGGCTTAAAGTCAAACTGTATATGCATCCTTTAATTTTTAGAGTATTAAATTTTGAATAAAAGGAGGCTCCTGTAGGTTTTAAGGCAGTTAATTTTATAAGTAGGGTCAAGAATCAATGGGATATTCTTATTTTTATTAGGATGATGCAAACATAATTGTGGTGTTTGCCATTACTTTTAATGGCAAAAACCTAATAATTTTTAGTCAGTTGATAATATGTTCATTGATTCATGGAGCACAGGTTATTCACAGTCATCCCTCCCTAAGACATTTTACACACACACACACACACACACACACACACACACAAAGGAAATATAACCTGATAACCTGTTACCAATTACTGTTGCTTTGGACCTATAGCTTTTGTAGAGCTTCAGTGAGCTGCAGGATCCTACAGAGAATTCCCTTACATAAATGAATTCCTTCCATTCAGTTTCCAACTAAGTCCAAATTAAGAGACTTTGCTGAAAGTGAAGAAGAGTGATAATGACTTACATAAAAGGCTAGAACAGAGTTGGCCTCAGCTGCTCACCCTAGGCTTTTTTAGTGTAACAGCTACCTATAAGCCTGTGTGAGAGAAGCTAAAATGCCTGATCCAACTGATCCCAAACGACTACTGATTCTACATATCCAGGACCAGGGGATGTGGCTGTTTTGGAAAGGCAGACTTCAGGGCTCTCCCTACAGAATCAAGATTTACATGTGATTTTCGGATGCTAAATTTTGAGAGCAAGTCATATATTAAAATTACTTGAAAACTTAGGAAGATATGATAAAATTAAACTAATAAAGAAAACAAATAAGCAATACAGCAGATACATGTCAGATATTTTGGTTGAGCCCCTGGGAATTTGCTTTAACAATTACCTTAGATTATTTTAAGGCAGCAGATAAGAAGCAGGGCTTTGGAAACCACAGTATTTGGGAAACACTTAGTGGGAAAGTGCAAAAGGCCAAGTTTACTTTTGGGGTCCATCTTTAATGAACACAGATGGTTGAAGAGGGGAGCATCTTTAATTTTCACGTATCTTCATAATGTTGGTTTTCCATGTCACTTCCTAGGGCAGCTGCTATTAAATTACCACTTGGACTTGAGCGCCCGTATCCTAGTTTACTGTGATAGGAGAGGAAGGGATAGTCTATGTACACTTTTTTGGGGAGCAAGTTCATAGCTTATTTTTTTAGTAACATTTTTATTGAAATGCTGACATGCTGCTGACATACAGGAAAGTGTATATCTTGATGAATTTTCACAGAGTGAAGTTAATCATGTAACTAACAACCAGATTTTTGTTAAAAAAAGATGCTACAAACATCCCATACGCCTCCTACACCTCCTCCTAGTCACTAATCACCTTACCTCCACCTGACACAACCACAAACTTCCACTATAGGATTCTAACAGCATAGATTACTTTTCTCTTTTTTTTTTTGCAACACTTTATAATTGGATTAAATGTTGATGTTTTTAATCAGATTCTTAAGAGTTTTATGATTCCTTCTATTTTTCTGTACTGTAACCAACTCAGGATGTATATGTTCCACAACCATATACTTTCCACCTGTGAAAAAATTCAATGGCAATGAATTGTCTGCTAAAGAAAAATCTGAGACTTTTATTAACATTTTGATTTCAAAATAAAAGTACAAGTAATTCACGTTTGAATCCCAAGACAAACATGTCCAAATGTCAGGCTATTTGAAGGTTATACACTAATAATATTGTTATTGCCAAAAAATAAATTGGTTGAAAGCTTAAGTAAACATATTTTAACTGTCTAAAGTGATTTTTAAAATGTTAAGCAAATGCAATTTCTATCCATAAAGAAAGACAGGATATATAATTTAGCCCTCCAGCAAAATTAACCAAAGCAAACAATCTTCTTTGTCTACTTGAGAGTTGAATTTAAAATTGAAAATAAAGGAATAAAGGGATATGCGTGAATCATTGGTAGTTCGGTCAATTTGCCCGTTTTTCAGAATCATCCTCATATAAAGATCAATATGCAGCCTGCACCTTGCTGGGTGAAGAAACTTGGAAAAATTACACCCTTGTATATTGAAGGCTTTACTGAAGAGCTGTTTAGCAAGAGGTGTGGTGTCCAGGAAGGGAACACAGGAAGAAGAAAATTTTGAATTACATAGTAGCCTTATATCCTATGTTTAGTCACTAGCAACAGGAATATACTATTACTCAGAATGTTGTCATTATCTGCCTTCCGGGTACATTCTATATGCGTTTGTCTTTCTCTGACTCTGACTAGAAACCAAAAACTTTCTGTATGTCAAATTACCTTCTCTCTGCTTTTTTTCTCAATCTGAGGTTCCTTTATTTAAAAATGATAAAGTAAAAGTGGTGGCTTACACCCAAAACTATATTGATACTGTGTATACACAGGCATACGTGCACACATACACCAACATACCTAAATTCTAATTAATTATGAATAATGGAATGTCAAGAGGATTTGACCATGACCTATGAATACTAGCTAAGACTGAGCTTATTACTTGTAGAGTATTCCCACTGACACACGAGCAATCTTTGGTAATGCTAGAGTCACATGACAATTTTAGTGGTGTTGAACCTACACAGTTGATAATTGTATAATTGCATGCAGTTTCAGTTACTAGACTCCAAATCTTCTGGCGTGACAACATTGGCTCTTGGATGCACTGTATTATCTGGAGTTTTTGCTCCAGATTATAAGGACTATCCATTAGTAAAGACTGGTCCACTAACCAATAGGGCTAACCAATAGCCCTAACCAATAGGGCTAAAAAGAAAGATTCTCTAAAAATTGGAGTTTGAGTAGCCACACCCAGAATAATGTCTGTGAAAGTACATTCTGCTCACATTATAACCACCACAGACAGTTTGATAAAAATGGAGATTCCTTGCCTCTAACATCAACATATGAACGAGAATCTTTGTGGATAGGGTGTGGGAAACTACTTTTTTTTTTTTTTTTTTTGAGGTGGGGTTTCGCTCTTGTTGCTCAGGCTGGAATGTAGTGGCGCAATCTTGGCTCACTGCAACCTCTGCCTCCCGGGTTCAAGCGATTCTTCTGCCTCAGCCTCCCGAGTAGCTGGCATTACAGGCATGCAGCGCCATGCCCGGCTAATTGTGTATTTTTAGTAGACACAGGGTTTCTCTACATTGGTCAGGCTGGTCTCGAACTCCCGACCTCTGGTGATCCACCTGCCTCAGCCTCCCAAAGTGTTAGGATTACAGGCGTGAGACACTGCGCCTGGCCCAGGGAATCTGCTTTTTATTAGGCCTTCCATTCTATTCTTAGGTACATCAGAGTTTGAGAATGATTGCCTTGTGTGGTTGCCATGATTTTTAACATTTATCTGTCCCTTACCTCTGGTGAAAGGAGAATGCCATTTGTTTTCCTTACCCACTCCCTCTATCCATCCTTTATTCCCTCTTTTTCTTCCTCCCTCCCTCTTTTTTTTTTCTCTTCCTAAGATATCTAATGTTTGCGAAAATTGGCCAAGCAGGTTCTAAGAACTAGGTATTAAAAGCTATAGTTCAGTAAGTAAAGCAAGTAAATTAAATTAATAAATTAAAATGTGTTGAGTGGACTGGAAGAGTACACACAGTCAAAATCATGCTAAAGTCCTCAATTTGCACCATTCTGACAATAAAATGTATCTAAGCCATGTGTTAAGAGCAAAGTCACAACTAACATCTCATTCTTTAAGCCACTGTCCATTCAAAAATGCATATAAATAGGCCTTTTTGCATAAATATTACATGTAAATGCATAAACCTTCTAGAAGATTATACGTTATTCTGTTCACAGCACCATCCCTATAGATATAGAATCATAATTGATGATTGAGGGGGCTGGGTGAGGCCCATTCATAAGACTGGCAAGAATGTGCATCAGTATTAATTACCCATAGGTAAACTTGCAGATATCACAAACCTTTAAAATGTGTGAATAAAGACATTCTATAATCTAAGGTGTTCATGTTGTACATTCACATTAATTAATTTCCACTTCGTGTACGTTCACACACACACACTGGAAAAACATCCATAAATATCTATCGAATGGGAATTAGAATGATGTCACAATCACTTAATTTTTAAAAAAATATTTAAAGCCTATTAAAATTAAAGATACAGAAAAGTAAAAATAAATATATATTTGACCTTCTTCCATATACCAGGGATTGTCCGAAATTTTAGCAGTGAATGAAACTGATACATTTACAGTGTTTATGCTCATGGAATTTAAAAATCTAATGAAAAATGAGATTCAGACTAATTACAAGAAAGGTTTAGGTTTACAATAGCATAGAACAGTGGAATTTACTATACAAGCAATATGATTATATTTCTATTTTTACATATTATAAATATAGAAAAATATTTCATAAATTTATAATATTATCCAAATTAAAATGTGGTATTACCTTAACTTTGAAAATTGCAATATTTACCTTTAATGCTTCAGTAGGATAAGACCATAATTCACTACATTGACATAAGAGTATTTTTTCATCTCAAGTTTACTAACATAGAATATTTCTTGGCATATATAATCTGCTAATACTGTATTGTGAAATGAGAAGATGGAACTTCAAATTCAATTTTCAAAAAAGTGGTTTTCACTTTTTCCATATCTATCCACTGAAGCAAGAGGTGCCTCCAAGTTTCTTGTTTTCGGTACCTGTAACTATGTAGCTGCCATTAAAGAAGTGGAAAAGACCATGAGTGGAGGAGGTTCGTGCAGGGTAATCAGAATTTCATTGTTGCAGGTATTTATATCTGAAACGTCTGTTAGATACTTACGCAGTGTTACGAAGTACACAGTTGGATATGGACTGTGGAATTCAAAGGAGAAATCCAGGTTGGAGATTGAAATTAGGAGTCATAATAGTACTGACATTTTTAAGGTGTGAGATTAGACTAGATTGAGCAAGGGAGTGAGTATAAAGAAAAGATGAATAACTCCTCACTTCTGGGCCACTCCAAAATTAAGTAGGGGAGAAAAGGGGAAACCACCAAACGAGAATGAGAAAAAATGGGTAGTAAAATAGGAAGAGAACCGAGAAGCTGTTGCCGTGAAAGGATAGTGAATAATGCTGAAGATAGGTCAAGTAAGATAAGGACTGAAAATAAATATTGCTTTTAGCAATGTAAAAGGCACCGGTGATTTTGACAAAAGCAGCTGGCTTTGAGTGGCTGAGGCAAAAGTATGATTGAAGTGGGTTTAAGAAAACTTGGGAGGGTGAATACAGATGAAGGTGAGCACTTGCGATCTAAGAAGTGGGAGTTGAGCAATAAGAACATATGGACACAGGGAGGGGAACATCACACACCGGGGCCTGTCGAGGGTGGGGGCCTAGGGAGGGATAGCATTAGGAGAAATACCTAATGTAGATGACTGGTTGATGGGCACAGCAAACCACCATGGGACGTGTATGCGTACGTAACAAACCTGCACATTCTGCACATGTATCCCAGAATTTAAAATACAAAAAAAAAAAAAAAAAAAAAGTGGGCTCTGTAGATGCACAATAAATAATTCCTGGAAAACATGATTTCTTTCTTCTATCCTAGAATTTATTTAAATGATAAATAATTTGATAAGCTTTACCATTGTCTTTTTTAAATTGTTGAATCTACTTGAAAGGTTTCATATTAGAGATTATGAAATTGTTAAATTGTTTGCCACCAGTTAGGAAGAACAAAGTTATTCTGTAGTCTCAGTCCTCCGTTACAAGGTGCTCAGAAATTATCAGTATTTCCTTTTTTCAATATTGAAGATGGAGTGGTTTGTCTTTTTCAATGTTTTGCCTTCCAAAGTAACAAAATGGTGTGCTTTTTATACTTCATTTTTTTTGGCTTCAGTTTTACTTTGGTCTCGTTACTGAAAGTGAGACTCATGCCCAGACGCTTTTCAAACAAAACCTAGCACTTAAATATAATGTTTAACTCGTAACTATAGACTCTGTAAATATAAATAAGGTTACCTTATGAAAGTAAATGATTTTTAAAATACCACCTTATTCCAACTGAGGTGTTTTTAAAATATTTCTCATTTCATCCACCACGGATTTCAGGGGAACAGAATAATTCAGATTTTTGAGAACCCTTATTTATATTGTATGGAAGAAAAGATAATTGTATCAGAGTTTTGATGCATGGGCCCACTAACGAGCAAAGTATATTATTATTATTATTATTATTATTATTGTTGTTGTTGTTGTTTAAATTCAACATTTTAACTCTTACTTAACAGAAGTATTTATCTCAATATTTTTTCCTACTGTTAATTTGTCCCATCTCTCTTGCTTTTCGATATTCATTTGCATTCTGTAAATTTGAGAAACATATGATGAATCTTCCTGTGTAGCCTCTTAAAAATCAGGAGACCTGAGTCTGGGCCCATGTTCTGTATGTAACTTACAGCCTATGTGGCCTTGAATATAAAACTAACCTTTCTTTTTTTCCATCAGTTCAAAAATACACATTTTCACATCTGGACAGATAAATGGCATAAAGAAAGTGGGCTTTGGAGACAGATATCTGGTCAGCAAATTGAAACACCTCAAATAGAACAAAATACATAGTAGCAATCCAAAAATATTAATCATTATTAACTCTAAATTAATATTAGAGTAAAAATGGGCAGAGCCTTTATATGTAATTTTTATAGATATGAGGAAGTTAAGAATTAGATTATCTTCATAGATCTGATTTGAATTTTATTTCTCTTTTCATTGAATCACTTTGTTTTCATCATGCAAATAATACATATTTTTACTGGCTTCACAGCTGCTGGTAAAAACTAATGATATATGATCTGAATGTAAAATGTAAGCTTATTTCATTATTATACAATTTTGCTTTTTTCATCCTCCTCACCACCTATATATTGTGTGTGTTTGGGTGTGTTCATCGGGGAAAGAGGAAAAGTTGTAGAATTTATGACTTTTCATAGCATTTTTATGTCCTGGATATGACATGCTGGTTATTGGCTCACGCCTGTAATCCCAGCACTTTGGGAGGCCGAGGCGGGCGGATCACGAGGTCAGGAGATCGAGACCATCCCGGCTAAAACGGTGAAACCCCGTCTCTACTAAAAATACAAAAAATTAGCCGGGCGTAGTGGCGGGCGCCTGTAGTCCCAACTACTTGGGAGGCTGAGGCAGGAGAATGGCGTGAACCCGGGAGGCGGAGCTTGCAGTGAGCCGAGATCCCGCCACTGCACTCCAGCCTGGGCGACAGAGCGAGACTTTGTCTCAAAAAAAAAAAAAAAAAAAAAAAAGAATAATTAGATATTAAAGAAAGATGGAGAGATACAAGAAAGAGAGAAAAAAATCTGTTCAAAATGCCTTGCATGTATGAACTGCTCTGAGCCTGTAAGAGTGAAGCAGAGGATTCCTGCTTAAATCATTTCAAGGTCATTGGGTTGGAAGCCCATATGGACCAATTAGTTTTAAACAGTGAAAAAACAATGTTTTCCAGGCGTAGACTCTACCTCTTGCCCTGGTCAGCTGTCTCCAGAAAGCCTGATGTGTGTCACAGGGGTAACTCCTAAAAGAACATCCATCGCTCGGCACAAATTAATCACAACTGCTGGATGCAGAAAGACCTCATCCATACTGATGGTATTAGCAGCATGCCTGGTTATGTGAGATGGATACATAATCCCAGACAGGACCAAACATTATTCCAGTACTGTTCTTCTTAGTGCTGAGCAGGATCTTAAAGCGTTTTGTGCCATGGGCTAATTTGACATTCTGCTGCCAAATGAAAAGTTAAATGCATAAGGTAAACTATGTAATATTACTAAGAAAATCTAGCATATTATCTAAATAGAGATATCAATATATTAAAAATCAAATATAAGTTTTTTAATCAATGCATTATATGACATTACCTCCCTATGGGTTTATTAATTAGCATAATTTCACATTAGTAATTGACATAAATAATATTTCAACAAATCTTCAATATAAATAATATGAAGGAAAATATATTGTAATATTTCTTGGTGAAAAGTCAGCAATCCCTACCAATATCACTGTAGTTTGTTACCTACCTTTTTAACAGATGAAAATGTTAAATTACTATTAGAAGGAAGTGAAAAATTGTCTTCTGGAGACCAAATTTCTTTCCTCACGTTTTAACAGTTAGAGATCTCTAGCTGAGCTACTTACAAAGTACTGTCACTATCTATCTAGAAAATCACACCAGAGTTTAATATCAAATATTTTATTTTCATTTTAATTGATTTAAAAATACAACTTTTCTCCCAATGGGGAAAACATAACAAAAATTAAAGATAGAATTTGAATTCATTTTAATAAATGTATATGCTATTAAATTATATCCATGTTTTCTCATAAAAGTTGGAGGAGATTTTCCAGAAGTCAATTGTGATGAAATCTTCCTTTAAATTAAACCTTCCAATACACATATAATAAAATATATATTTTTTAAAAAACAGAAAATCTATGGTTAGTATTTTCCTATGTGCAGCATGACCATGTAGAGATTTTGTATGAAAATGTGTTAGAAACAGAAATTTTTATCAACTTCTTAAACTTAATGGGAGAAAAAAAAGAAAATTTATACATAAGAATATTAATTTTACTTGAAAAACATTTCTAGTTAAATAATATTGCAATTCACAGTTTCTACAACATTACAATGAAATTTATTATTTCTGTCCTTTTTAAGAAGCTTTTGGGGACGGTCAGTGGGCAATAAATATAACTTTATTAATTTTATATAGAATTACGAATTATTTGGGAATTGTCTACGTTTCTTTGAGCTGCAATAACAAAACACCATAAACTGGATGGCTTATAAACAAGGAACATTTATTTCTCACAGTCGTGGAGGCTGGACATTCGACTCTTGTAAATTTGGTTTCTAGTGAGGGCCCACTTCCTCACAGAGGGTGGTTCCACCTTCTTACTTGTTCTCACGTGGTGGGAGGCGGGGAAAAGGAGCCCTCTAGACCCTTTTCTATAAGGGCATTCACCCCATTAATGAGGGCTCTGCCCTCACCACCTTATCACCTTCCAAATGCCACACCTCTTAATACCATCACCTTTGGGGTTAAAATTTCAACTTACGAATTTGGGGGGTACAACAGCAGAGACCATAGCAGAGATTTAAACATTAGTGTAAAATGAGAAGACACAGAAGAGACAAAGTCGATACGATAGTTCTTTATTTGTGTTACTTTTTTTCTTTTATTTAAATATTTTATCAGCGGTACACTCAAGTATCTCCATTTGAATTTTCTGACTAAATGTATTTAAACACAATTACCTCTCCTACTGCATTCAATAAAAATTACAATAATTTGGCTGGGCGCGGTGGCTCACGCCTGTAATCCCAGCACTTTGGGAGGCTGAGGCGGGCGGATCACGAGGTCAGGAGATCGAGAGCATCCTGGCTAACACGGTGAAACCCTGTCTCTACTAAAAATACAAAACATTAGCCATGCGTGGTGGTGGGCGCCTGTAGTCCCAGCTACTTGGGAGGCTGAGGCAGGAGAATGGCGTGAACTCAGGAGGAAGAGCTGGCAGTGAGCCGAGTTCACTCCACTGCACTCCAGCCTGGGCGACAGAGCAAGACTCTGTCTCAAAAAATAAAAACATAAAATAAAATAATAATAATTTATTACAGTGAATTTTTAAAATATACACTGAGTTTTAAAACAGAAGACTGAAGCAATTAAGCCTCACTGGATTTTCATTTCCTCATTTATATTTTCAAATGGCCCTTTAACGTATTTTTTCCTTATGTGATGATATTAGTTAAAAAGAGAACCCTATATATTGCATGAAAAGTGAAACTCCAAAAAGATAGCACGACATATACTTTCTAAATATTTTCTTTTCTTTTCAATTTTAGGCTGAACAAGACAATGGTCATCCTCTTCCTGCCTTTGCCGGTCTACACATTGAAATACTGGATGAAAACAATCAAAGTCCATATTTTACAATGCCCAGTTATCAAGGCTATATCCTGGAATCTGCCCCAGTGGGAGCAACCATTTCGGACAGTCTCAATTTGACTTCACCTTTAAGAATAGTAGCTCTGGACAAGGACATAGAAGATGTAAGTTAAATACATATTTTGCTCTTGTTTGTGTAACAAATCTCATATTTCCATTAATGGGAAATATGACAAAGATATGGCTACATAAGCTAGAGAAGAGAGAATTAAGTCACTGTAAGTGAGTTTTAGTGTTATAATTTAATTCCAAAACAAGGATATTTTAAAAAGTATCTTTGAATTCAATAACTATTCCTTTTCAGCTTGCAGATATTCAGTATATGTAAGAAAATGAATGTTTTACTTGATGTTTATTTAATGACGAGGGCAATATTTTTATTAACATATGTTGAGAACTGTTTTATATAATTATTGATAAAGCAAAAATAATGGTGTTACTACATGAGTAAAAAATCATGAAAGCACCCCTAGATTGTGATTCTCAGAGACTTTTCTTCAAGTCTGAGGGCATCGTTATTAAAATATATTTGAGGCAGCTGACCCATTCATACTTCTGCCAGTGACTATGTGGATGCTTACGCTTCACTCCACAAATCATTGTCTTTTGTTTTTCTTGTACTCACACTATCTACATGAGTGGGAAATGGTCCAGGCTGAGCAAATCAGAACACTTTACCTCCTTAGCCAGAGTGAATGTTATAAAGGGACAGAAAATCTATACCAGGCTAGCCAGAATCCTCCCAGGAATTTACAATGGAGAACAGAAGGGCTGAAAGACTTTGGTATCATGTATTAGAGAAGTGGAAATGAATCTGAAACCTTTGTAGCCACATTTGCTGACATCATGAGAAAGCCAATTATCAGTGGGAGAGAATGAAGCCTGAGAGATACACACAGAAAAGAGAGTCCCATTGAGTGCCTGTCTTTTAAGTTTTAAGTTCCCCAGAGGTATTCTAATTCCCAAAGATTTTCCTTTGAGTTTGTGAACTACCACAGTATCCTCACTGCATAAATATGTATACATATGTTTTGTGTATATATATAGATAGATAGATAGATAGACATATACACAGGTATACATACACATACAGATATAGATAGATAGATAGATAGATAGATAGATAGATAGATAGAGATATATACACAGGTATACATACACACACACACACACACATATATATAAAACAGCAAGTAAATACAACTGTGTTTGGATTATAAGCATAACTATATGTAAAAGATAGTTGGATTTCTTACTTGCTGTTATATAATTCTTGATTCATTCATTTCTCCCTTAACAGTGCTTGCTCTCAGATAGATGGATTTTTTTGTGATGATGGAATTACTGTGTAACTGTACTGTCCAACATAGTAGCCACTAGTCTTATACAGCTATTGAGTACTTAAAATTTAACTGGACTAAAAACATAACTTTTAAATTTTGCTTAATATTAATGAAATTAAATATAAATACATGTCACTCATAAGGCAGCAGAGCTCTAGAATGTTCCCTAATATCTCATTACACATAGCTTTATAATCACTTCAGGAAATTAGGAAGGCACTTTCAGATTTTTTTTCTCTTTCTAAATAAATTTTGTAACACTCCACAGAGGCTATGACAATTCTTGTTGGCACTCCACCTCTTCCCACCAGATGCTTTATTTTATTCTTTTGTTTCTCTTTGCTTTGTTTTCTTTTTCCATTCTAGCTTTTTTTTTTTTTTCAATCTTTCCTGGTCTCTCACATTTAGTGTCTTCTTAAACCACAAGTTTTAACAATATCTGTCATTGAGTTCTCAGTACATGTCAAACAATACAGTAAATTCTTCTTGCATTAATTCCCTTAAATCTCACAACAAACATGATAGATGCAATTATCCCTATTTCAGAAAGGGATATTAAAGCTAGTTTAAATGCCTTACCATGATCACAGTGTTAGTAAACAGTAGAAATGGACCTTAAGCCAAGGTTTATGGAAAACAAAGTTCTCAATTTTAAGCACTCTATATTTTATATACTTTGATCATAGTCTGACTATAATGATAGCTGAAGAATGCTCTAGGTTCTTTTCCTAGAAAAGTGAACACATTAATCTATACACAGTTTCATATGCCAGTCAAGAGAATTTAGGGATTCTCTGATGTATAGTGGGTTTCATGAGTCACAGGAAAAAAGTCTCTACTGAATCCCCACTAGAAAACACCTAGAGTCACCTTAATAACTTCAATCCAGGCTGAGCAAATGTATTTTGTAGATCTACTAATGTCCCACAAATTTTAGTGCGGATTTTGCTTTTCAATTGAATACATACTCATATTTTAAGTAGTGACTAATCAATTTGAAAGTGTATGATAGCTTAGGTCATACCTTAATAGAACTGGTGGTTAGAAAAATCTAAATCTAAAGTTAGGTAGTTTTAAGTTTACACAATAGCAAAATTTATGTATTTATACCTTCTCAGTGTGTTCATATTATCTATTGGTTACACACTAAGCCCTATGCTTGCCTATGTGACCCCGTACTTGTCTGGATTGTCTGTTCACTTTTAAATTACAAATGTTAAAATTGTGTTCCAAGGAACTTTGTAAAAGACAGTAGTACTCACAGGGCATTGATGAAATAAAGTGGAGAGAGCTCAGGGGTCTAAAACCTTTGAGAAACACTACTTATAATTCAACTCTTGGAGATGTACAGTACCAGTTAGTCTATGAAATGCTCTGAAGTGTTTTTGGCAGTTTGGGCTTTGGATTTAGACAGATCTTGGCTTGACTCCTGGTTCTGTCATGTAATAGCTGTATAACATTGTGAGTTTCATACTCATCAGGTGCCCCCTCTTGTCCAGTCATCTATATGGTAGCAATCATTGCTGCCTTGGTATGTGTCTTTAGTTGGGACTGGTAGGAAAGGGCATGGAGAGAAAATTTCCCTGAGATGATGCCATGTACATGGAGGGTGGCATGCTTCATAACTTTTATAAAAGTGTCAAGTAATTAATCAGCAAAACTGATCATTTGTTTATTACTTAGACTCACCCCCTTTCTAAAATAATCTATGGTGAGTGACTGTCATTAGGTGTCCAGAGAGTGAACAAGTATGCCTAGTCTTCTAGTAATAAAATTTTTAAAAATATCATATGTAGTTTCTATATATAAAATATAAATAAGCTCATAGAATATTAGAAATAGTTTAAACTTCCAGTACTGTATGAAATCCTCTCCTAAAACCCATTTCCCAGAAATTGATAGATGTTTTATTGTGCTATGCAACCTAGAATCCTAGAAGTCTTGCTTGATTTTTATGTTTTCTTTATTCGCCACAACTAAGAAATCTTCCAGATCTTCCTATTTTGTCCCCTAATTATTTATTTAATCTCTTTTCTTCTCTCTATCCTTATAACCACCACCCTATTGGTCTGTTATTAGAATTACTTCCTGATGTTCTTGGTCTCTTGATTTCTTACTCAAGTCTATCTTCTGCAGGGCCATTAGAGTGATTTATTCAAAAGCTCAAATCTAACATCTAACTACATCCTTCCTTCCTCTCTCCCTCTCTCCCTCTCCTTTCTTTCTCTTTTTCCTTCCTTCCTTCTTTCCTTTCTTTCTTTCTCTTTCTTTTTCTTTCTTTCTTTCTTTTTCTTTCTTTCTTTCTCTTTCTCTTTCTTTCTTTCTTTTTTTTTTTTCTTTCTTCCTTCCTTCCTTTGTTTCTTTCTTCTTTCCTTCTGCCTGCCTGCCTTCCTGCCTTCCTTCCTTCTCTCCGTTCATTATTTTTTTCTTTCTCTCTCCCTTCCTTTCCTTCCCCCCGTCCCTTCCTTCCCCTCCTTCTCCTTCTTTCTTTTCTTTTTTTTCTTTCCCTTGCTTTTCTTTCTTTTGAGAGAGTTTCTCTCTGTCACCCAGGCTGGAGTGCAGCGTCACAATCCAGGCTCACTGCAACCTCTGCCTCCCTGGCTCAAGTGATTCTCCCACAACAGCCTCCTAAGTAGCTGGGATTACAGGCTTGTACCACCATGCCTAGCTAATTTTTTTTTTTTTTTTTTTTGCATTTTTTGTAGAGACAGTGTTTCACCATGTTGGCCAGGTTGGTCTGGAACTCCTGACCTCAAGTGATACACCCACCTTGCTCGGGTTTACAGGCATGAGCCACTGCGTCTGGCCCACATTTCTATTTGATATACTTTTATGACACCTATTCCTCTAGAGAAGAAAATTTAAGCTCACACAATTTTCTGTATCTTGATACCTGAACATTTTTGTGGCCTGAGTTTTGGAAACTTCCTAATTCACCTATAACATTTGGCAACTGCTTGTCGTTTCTTTCATGTGCCAAGCTACATCTTGTCTAATGTTTGCTCATTACATGTTCTAGGCTTTGAAATCTTTCATCTGTTGCACAGGCTGGCTTGGATAACTTATACTCAGTGTTTAGAGCTCACCTCAGGCATTCCTTCATTCGAGAATCTTTCCACGGTATTCATTATCCAATTTTAGTTGCATGCCTCCCTCAGTGCATTTCTCTAATTCTATACTTCCAACTTGAAAATAATGTCTTTCTCCCTCATGAGTTTACATCTGTTGAGAATAGGTCCTATATCTTAGCAACTTTTGTATGCTGAAGAACTAACACAGTTTCCAGCACTTAATAGGGTTTGGGAACTCTTCAATAAACTCATAAATTCAGTCACTATTGAATGAATTAGGTTATCTAACAGATGCTTCAAAGATGCTAATGATGTTGCATTAAGTATTTCACAAGATGGCCTATCCCATGTTTGAACAACTCTAATTCTTAGAAAGCTGTTTTTCATACTGAGTTGAAACCAGTTTTCTTTTAATTCATCTATTATTCCTTAAATCTTCCATTTGCCAGCACACAAAATAAATCTATGAAATAGTCATTCATATATTAGAAGATGGATTTATGTCCTTCTGATACATCTGTTTTTTATAGACCGAGCACCATTTATTTTTATAAAGTAAATTAGTTCATTTCTGGGATTTTCAAAAGATCTGTATTATGAAAAGAAAACTTTAAAGCCATTTTAGTTTATGGGCATGAATTTTACTTCAAGGTAAATCATGCCACTCTTGGCTGGGTGTGGTGGCTCACTCATAATCTCAGCATTTTGGGAGAGTGAGGCTGGAGGATGGCTTGAGGCCAGGAGTTCCAGACCAGCCTTGGCTACATATGGAGATGCAGTCTCTACAAAAATAAACAAAAAACTTAGCCAGGCATGGTGGTTCATGCTTGTAGTCTCACTAATTGAAAGGCTGAGGCAGAAGGATCCCTTGAGCCCACTGGTTCGAGGCTGCAGTGAGCCATGATTGCACCACTGCACTGCAGGCTAGATGACAAATTGGGACCCTAATTCAACAAAATGAAACAAAATCCTGTTGCTTTTGAGTGTCAGAATTAGTGACAATCATCATTATAGGGATAAACTCTTTGAGAGAGACAGTGTGCCACCTCATACAATATCAGCATAGTATTAGAGATTAAGCCTCAAGCATAAAAGTGGAAGTTGTCATTGCAGGGCTTGGCTCTCAAGAGTTGCTTCAAGCATAGCTATTCCAGATGGTAAATGCCAAGAAGGGGACAAGTTTGGATCCATTTGCGTAAAATTTAAGTTGTGTTTCTCCCTTTAATTTAGTGGAAAGTGAAGCCACATTTTAAGAAACAATAGCCAGGAATGTGAGTTGTGATAGTATTCACAGTGTAGATTTTAAGTCAGAAAGAATTCCAAGGGCCACAGTAATACTGAAAAGAAAGGAAAAGAAATATTTGCACCAGTGTTCTTTTTATTGCTATATAGATGTAGACATATACCCATACACACACACACACACACACACACACACACACACACATACACATGCATGTATACATATATGAACCATATCAGTTTATACATTATGCCTTTTAGAGTACTTGTACCACATCATAATTTCAAAATAACCCATAATATAAGTAGAATAGGTAAGGCACAAGGTGTTAAGAGGCATGTCTGAGACCACCAGGTTTTCAGTGTCAGAGATGCTAAAAATTGATTATTGAATGCTGATCATAAAAAATGACAAAGAATAATAATCAATAAAGATTACTCATTTGGCTTGTAAAAAGATACTTATTTATAACTTCATGTAAATTTGTTTCTCTGCTTAACGTTATTTTACTATGAAGAGGTATCTTTGATATTTAATTCAATATACTCATAAAGCAGTTAAGTATTTATATGCTTCATAAATATCGTTATTCCATTATATGTGGGTCACAATGCTAATAAAAAAATTGTATACTCTGAAAAAAATTGTCAGTCTAGTGTGCTGGAAGTGGTTTGCTTTTTCTTCATATGTGCGGTTGTGATCATTTACATTTACAATATTTATTTCATGTTTAATTTGCGTATAGGTTCCACCCAGTGGAGTTCCTGTAGGTACTAGGTGTTAAGCTTGTGATTGTTCTTTTGTTAATTGCTGTGGTTTATTTCCTTGTTCTTTTTTTTCTTCACTAAAACACGTAGGTATTACTTCATTATCCCTTATAAGGATATCTACAAATACTTTATATAAATTTAAATATACTTACTTCATTGGTTTAAAATTTAAAAATATTTTAAAGTTAAAAAAGGTAAAAATATTTACATAATCTATTGTTTATAGTACTATGAAATTTTGTAAAATCCAAATTTAATTGTCAACTGAGGCAAAGACTGCTTAATTATTAATGTTTTCTCAGTCCACAACAAACATTGGTAATTTATCATGGCATTTTTTCTAAAACATTGTAAGTTTGAAATTGAATTTTTTTGAACTAAATACTCAGGCAACTACTACCAAGTAATTAAAACTGGCTGAGGAGATAACATTTTTTTGTCATTTTTCTCTTATGCTTTGTCATTTATATGTATGCTCTTGTATATGCATACATATATATGTGCACATATGTCTATACATGTCTGTGTTGTATGTGCCTATATATGTGCATGCATATGGTCTTGTGTGTTTGTGATATCCTATATTTATTCCCATTAGAAACCCCAAGTTGGTGTTTAAACAGTAGACTCTCATCTTTGAACATAGTTTTATATGATAGAATGCTTGTTTATTTTATATTCATATGTTTGTTTACCTGTGTGTTTTCATATGCATTTACTTTTGCATTTTTTTCTGTTTTTATGTGTGCATGTCAGAGCTTATTTTACCATCTCAAAATATAATATGCAGATAAGTGAATTAATATATCATACTTTTGGTATATACTGACTGGATATTTTAGGGTAAAATAAATATTACCTAATGTCAGAGGAAAATTAACGGTTTTTAATCAACTCTCTGTGTACCTATTGATTTAACACTTAAATTCATTTTAAATAAACTTATAGACACAACAGCTACCTAAAGTCTGCTACCCCTATTGGAATATTAAGCCAGAGCATTATTTGTCCATGTACATCCTAGTCTATGAAACTTATAAGCTATTAACTCTAACATGATTAAAAGAGTTGCAAATATACAAGTGTTGACTCAAGTTACTCTTTAGGAATTGCAAAATTCAAATATATTTGTGAAATTCAAACTGTATCGGAATGCAGCTTGACAAGAAGGAATTTAAGTTTATAAAGAGATTTAGAGAAGGATATTTGACTTCAAATGCACATTGTTTCTTACCAAACCTTTGATACACCTTTCTTGTGAAGGGTAGCAAAACCTTGAACTGTAAATATTGTCAATCAAAACAATAGGTTAGTTGGTACTGATATGTATCTATTAACATTTTATGTTGATATTACTTAAAATTTTCATAAAACTCATAAAATGATATGCTGTAATATTTGGAACATAAATATATACACAACATTTGAAACTTGCACTATCTTTAAAAATGAATATAAATTATTAAACATTGAGTGACAATTTGTTGAACATTTCCAAATCTGGCTTCCTAAATTTTTTTACTTAAATTAATACGAGGATATTTACCAGTAGCATTTATGTACAAGATTATTATTTTAAATATACATAAATGTAAATGTTATATTTTGATCAGAGATTAACTAAACAAAACAGAATGAGCTATAATATGCCATGTATAGTGCTAGCTTTCTGTGATAGATTATCTTCTTCACAAAAAGCAAATACACTGTAGTTCTGGGAAATGTTATCTTTCTCCAGCTAGTTATTATAAAAGCACTCAAGAAACTGAGACAGTTAAATTAACAAAAGATCTTTAATGTTTCTGTTTATCCAATATAAGGAAGTCTATTTATGGAGTATTGATGTGTGCATTATCTTCAAACGAAAAGCATTTGACAAACAAAACCTAGAGGTTTTCTTGAAAGTGGTAAAAAGTAAGTGCTCTTTGTGACACAAACATATTATACTACAGTCACATTTGGACACACTAGTTGACAACTCAATACTTATTGAAATATTGCATTATCGAAATACTTGACACACAAAAATGCTTAAAAATGTGAAGATATGAGTGAATATACCTAACAAATTTATTAACAGAGGTTACGGTTGAAAGGAAGAAAATAAATTGAGAGAATTAAGGTATAAAGGAAGTAGAGAATGATGAGATTTGAACAAAAGGAACAAAGTAAATATTTGGTAAACAAGGTACATAGCAAAACTTCCTCAGCTTGCATTTAGGGTTTAAAGGTCCGAATAAATTAAGGCATGCCAGATGGCACCATTGTTGGTGCATTTAGAGAAGTGTATATGTGCTTAAAAGCCCAGTGATTAGGTAAATCCAGGATGAACACAAAACAAATGGCAGACATTCATACTTAGAGTTTCTTTGACTGAAACTGCATGTTAACTAAAACTTTTTTATCAACTCTAATAATTGAATTTAATCACAATTCACTCTAAAGTGTAAAATAAGAATGCTTAAAATATCATTCAGAATAGACATATGCATTTTCTAATTGACTTTTAAAAATACATAATTTATTTTTAAAACTAACATGTTAGATTTTTTAGAATATCCCGCTTTCTAGTTATCTGAGTAATTGGGTTCATGACACTGAAATGGAAACAACTGAAGTGCCTGTTTGAAAATATCAGAGTGTGAAGCCTCTTGAACTTTTTCTCAATATTTTTGATCATTTTATAATAAATACGCCAGTTGGAATTATTATGTGTAGTATTACTTTCTTATTGTTCCAGGATAAATGTAGCACAGTGACCTTAAGTCAAAATCCTGAACATAGAAGCTACTACAGAATGAGATATTATGAATACATAACTTGTTTTAGGTTCAAATGAAACCATTTATTTCAAGGTTATTTGAAATCTACACATATCACAATGTTTAAAAGATGGGCAGATTCAAGTATATTGTGGATCAAATCATGTTCACATTTTATTATAGTAGTGTGCATTACAACTTTTGTATTTTACATAGAAATTTTGAAATTATGAGTTCTATTATTTTCAAATTAAACACATTTAACAATTTTCTATTCTTTGCTCTTGCCTCAGTCCTTGACATCAGACTTAAAGAAGTGTTTTATGATATTAAATCCATTTCATATCATGCTATGCATACTTTAAAAGATAGTATAATCTAGAACAACACCTTACCTCCCTGTATCACTCCTTTCTCTCTTTTTCAAAGCCTTCATAATAGTCCACTCTCTGAATATTCCTTTTTTCTTCGCTCCACCTGCCTTTCTTTCCTACTATGCAGACATCAGTGCTAGCCTTCTTACTTTATATTGCTGTTCTTTCTCTAAATTAGAGTATGTTGTCTTCTGTTTCAGGGGTGGCAATGAAATTGCAAAGGGTCTTCAATGCTAAGTTGATTGTCTCTCAGACTTGAATTTTGAAATCCCTTCCTTTTTAAGTATATATCATTTTTTCTAGACTTTTCTATCAGACACATTTGCTAAATTTATGCATATTTTAAATCAAATTATCTGAAATATTTTAATTAAAGTAAACATGTTTCCATTTGGAAAATTTTACAGCATTAAAATAAGAAAGAGTAAGCATGATATTTATAGGTAATGAATAATACATAACCAATTTTATTTCTATTTTGCATTATAAGTAAGAACAAGATAGTAATATGTATATATGCAGTTTATTACTATAAATGAAGTAATTATAAAGTCTTATTGCTAAAATTTTGAAATGCAATTTTCTTTTCTTGCTTTTATTTCTTATTTCTCCAGTCCAATGCTATTTTGGAAAATATTGATAACAAATAATCAGTAAGAATATATTTAATTGGGAGTTTTTATATTCTTTCTGTTTTTCTATTATTTTTCCTTTTTTCCCACATTGATTATACCTGTTTGTATTTCAGTATTTTGTATTCCACGATATAGGTCACCATCTTTTGAATAGTTTAGATCATTTGAGTAAATATCTAGTTAAATATCTTTTATCGTTAGAAATTCTTAATACTTTCACGTGGATTTTTGCTATAAATTTCAAACATTAACTTCTAGGTAATGAACTAATAGCTACATTATTTATTCAACGTTTGAAACGATGTCATTTTTTTTCAAAGACAAAAGACCCAGAGCTTCACCTTTTTCTGAATGACTACACCTCAGTCTTCACCGTCACACAGACTGGTATTACTCGCTACCTCACCTTACTTCAACCAGTGGACAGGGAAGAACAGCAAACTTACACCTTTTCGGTAAAGAGCTTTTGTGTAAATATACATATGTATGTATGAATGTATGTATGTATGTTTGTATGGAACTGAAAGAGATGTCTGGTTAAAACTGAAAAAATCAATGACTTGGGGGAAAAATACATTATTTTCAATACCAGAGAGAAGATCAATGAAAAATTATTTACATGTATTGCTCTTTTTTTGTAATTTGTGTAGCTATATTAACATTCTTCCTCACAGAAGAAAAAACTTTTCAAAAAAAAAAGAAAGTGAGAATTTCAGTCTTTACTAAACAGTCATAATTGTCTTAAATTGAGGTATAAAGAATTATTTCCTAACCTTTTTTGTTGTTGTTCTTGCATTTTTTATTTAGTCATAAGGTTGAGCCAGTGATTCTCAAGAGGGAATAAATTTTCCCTCCAGTGAACATTTAGCAACATCTGGAGGCATTTTTGTTTGTCACAATTGTGAAGGGGTAGTTACTATAGGCATCTAGTAGGTAGACATAAAGGATGCTGCTAATTGTAATACAGAGAACAGCCCCTCACAATAAAGAGTTATCTGTCCCAAGGTGTCAATAGCACTGAGGTAGATAAATCATGGGTTAGGCTAATCAAGGGGGAAAAAAAGTAAAGGTTATTAAAGTTGTGATTGTAAATATTTATCATGAGATAGGGAAATACACACACACACATAAACATACACACACATGCACACAAACACGTAAATAACAAGTATAGTAGGGTTGACAGTTGGATAAAGAAAAAATGTAACTTCTAATTATATCCCAATTTTTGAATCAGTCACAGGAGAAAGATGAGCTAAGAGAAAGCACAAGTTAAACAAGATATGTAGAAATTATTTCTGGAGAAGCCTACATAGAAAAAGATCAGAACTTCCAGGAAAGTTTATGTGATTGTTAAAAGTTAGATACAAAGTGGATTTAGACAAAGATGGTGGTGCTGTAGCACTGATTTGGCAGGAATTGTTAAAATCTTGATAATGTACATTATCAACATTGATAAAGTATAACATACATTATCAACATTGATAAAGTATAAAATATCACAATTAAATGATACCACTTAGTCCTTTGAAAATTGCCATTGGGTGAATTACTGTGATACAAAGTACATCTAGGAAGTCTACCTTCCTGATGGTATAAACACATTGACTGTACAAGGAACTATTGTATACAAAATATGTAAATGCAAATAATATTTTCCAATTAAGTTTTTAAGGATTAAATTGTAGTTAACCCTAAGAGTCAGCAATGTTATTGGCCCACTTTAAATGATATTTTGCATATCTGATTATTTAAAATATGCCTGGAGTTGAATACCTTAAAACAAAATCTTCAATACTTGCTTCTTACCATATTAGAACACTTTTAATATATGTAATATTACGTCTCTATTACGTCCTTTTATCAACAAAATATTTTTGCACCCTTTCAAATTGTAAGATTACCTGTAAGAAACTTGTTAAACTGTAAGAGCAAACTCTGTACTACTTATATTTGCAGAACATCTCTACTAAGTGTATTTTTCTCCTCCCAAAGATAACAGCATTTGATGGTGTACAAGAAAGTGAGCCAGTCATCGTCAATATTCAAGTGATGGATGCAAATGATAACACGCCAACCTTCCCTGAAATATCCTATGATGTGTATGTTTATACAGACATGAGACCTGGGGACAGTGTCATACAGGTAACTACTCACATAATATAAGTGTACACTCAAAGCTGTTATTTACATGTGCATTATACGATATGCTCATGAAGAAATTACTTAAGAAACAGAAATTGATTTCACACTTATTGTATAGCATAATTAGTTTAAATAGCTTTAAATTTCTGTTACTTTTCAAATAAAAGCATATCCGCCAGGCATGGTGGCTCACGCCTGTAATCCCAGCACTTTGGGAAGCCAAGGCAAGTGGATCACCTGAGGTCGGGAGTTCGAGACCAGCCTGACCAACGCTGTCTCTACTAAAAATACAAAATTAGCCGGGTATGGTGGCGCATGCCTGTAATCCCAGCTACTCAGGAGGCTGAGGCAGGAGAATCGCTTGAACCTGGGAGGCCAAGGTTGCGGTGAGCTGAGATCATGCCATCACACTCCAGCCTGGGCAACAAGAGCAAAACTCCATCTCAAAAAAAAACAAAAACAAAAACAAAAAACCAAAAACAAATAAAAGCATATCTATATGGACTCTAAAGGAGACTTAACTGGTTATTAGAGGTAAACATAGCTATTTGTAGTAAGTGAATAAATGCTTGGTTGTTACTTTAAAAAAAAAAGCATAGCTATTTGACCAGTTTATATTTTATTAAAATACTGAATATATTAAATCTTCAAATTACTTTTCACTACTGTAGAAATTGATTAAATTTCACTTGGAGATAAATACAAAAAACTGCCTTAGTAAATTGATGCATAATCCCACTAGATATTGGTTACCTAGATAAAATATAATCATTACAGCAGAGAAAATTTAAGTTAGATAGTAAATGGTAACTTTGAAAACATGTAAGTCAGGCAACATCTTTATTCCTGATTTATCTTATTTTTACCATTATCTGTGCTTATTACACTTAAATAAGTTATTTCAAACACACACACACACACACACACACACACACACTTTTTTTCTCTCTTTTCCTCTCTCATCAAGGTCATAGCCCATATCTGAAATTAACCTATTTTCTTCTTTCCCTTACTCCAAATGGAAAACTCAGGAGGTTAGCAACTTTGGCTGTCTTGTTTGCCACTGTAATGCCAGCACATGGCAGACATATTAGCCATGCAGTAAATATTTATTCCAAGGATAAATCATCACCAACTTTGCATTAATTGTTAATTAAAATTAGAAATCATTCAATGCAGCTGGGCATGGCGGCTCACACCTGTAATCCTAGCACTTTGGGAGGCCGAGGCGAGCGGATTGCCTGAGCTAAGGAGCTCGAGACCAGCCTGGGCAATATGGTGAAACCCCACCTCTACTAAAATAAAAATTTTTAAAAAAATTAGCCGGACGTGGCGGCATGCGCCTGTAGTCCCAGCTACTCGGGAGGCTGAGGCAGGAGAATTGCTTGAACCCAGGAGGTGGAGATTGCAGTGAACCAAGATGGCGCCACTGCACTCCAGCCTGGGGACAGAGAGAGACTCCGTCTTAAAAAGAAAAACACAAAAAACAAACAAACAAGCAAAATGTGAAAGAAAAAAGAAATCATTCAATGCTATTATTTTTTATTTATGAATTAAGATATGCTTTCTTGAGTTCTATAGAAGGGGTGACATGATAGCCTGGGGACTGGGAATTCACCGGAATGTTTATTCTATGTGTAAATAGCTTCTGCTGTGTATTTGGTAAAGAGAGAAAAAACGTTTCAAACTGCTATGGTAAATTTTTTAATATATTGGTATGGTACTTGTCACATTAATAAAATGAATGTGTTTTAAAGCATTTGATTTCAGGGCAAAACTGTAACTAGTTTATTTCTGTATCTGTGGCATCTGTATCTATAGTTCATGGCATATAGTAGATGTTTAATACGGTAGCTGCTGATGGCAACAAAAGACACTGGGGACTACTATGGAGGGAGAGAGGGAGAAGAGACAATTGAAAAATTAACTATTGTGTACTATACTCAGTATCTGGGTGACAGAATCAATCATACCCCAAACCTCAACATCATGCAATATACCCAGGTAATAAACTTGCGTATGTACCCCCTGAATCTGAAATAAAAGTTAAAATTATAAAATAAAATAAATATAGTGTAGCTACTTAATAAATGCTTATTTGAAGATGAAAGAAAGGAAGACCCTTAGACAAGTAATATTGAATGAATAAAGATATGAGAGAATGGGAAGCTGTAGATACATGACTATTAGTTCCAGTCAATTGATGGACCATGAGAGCTACATTTTTCTTTGCTAAATCACCTTTTCACAGGTAGAAAAATCATAGTTTACATAAATAAATGAATGACAATTATTGTCATGTTCTTATTTAATTAGAGCTGATTTTCATCTCTATAATGACATAATTGGAAATGAAAGTAAGTTTACACAGAAAAACAGCCAGCAGGGAACTACAAAGTGTAAGTAAGAAAATCATAGCAATTATATGGAGAAACTGTATCTCAAAAATGTTTGCCTTAGGGGATCAAAGGCTTATTTCCTCATTTGAAGTCTACAAAAGTTAATTTCCCTTATGTATCTCTTTGTAAAACAGATATTTCCTTGCCTTTCAAGACTTTTATATATTTTCCTGAACTATGCAGATTATGAAGATAGACTGTTGTTTGTGTCAGCATGCCCACAATTTTAAAAATTATTTAAGTCAACAAATTAAGCTTTATAATTAGTATTTTAATGTTATTTCTGGTATGTGGTAGAAGAATGGTCTCGCTATAAAACATCCTCCAAGAACCTAGACATAAACTAGTTCTCATTGAGAGAATATTTTTAAAACAAAGAAACTTGATACAGAACTCTGATCTACATATACCCTTTAAGAGTCATGACATAGGTCCCTATGCTACACCTCATCACAACCCTGCCTTTCCCCATTGACCTGACACAGGATACATCAGTTTACTTTGTGGTTAGTAAACTGATGTCAAAGACTGAAAGTGTCAGAAACAAAAGTGACAATGAGCACTTTAAAGGAAAGAGACACTTGGGCAACAGGTTTTAATTATTGTCATTTTCAATGTAGCCATGAGACTCTTTTAGCCTGATGTGAGTGCATACTCAATTTTTTAAGTACAGTATATTTTTCTTATTAAGTATCTACCCTGTCTGCAAGGAGCAAATGAGTTGGTTATAAAGTTTTAACCAGATCCTTGTTATAAGTTCTCAGTTATAAATTGAGCTTCTGACTTTATATATGTCTCTTACACTTGATTTTTTCAAAAAGCCTGGAGTGATTCTCATGCACATGGGTCATGAACAACACTTAGAGGAGTGATGCCTTAAAGCACCAACATCATCTTCCGTAACCGGAGCTGAAGTATAATCACATTATTAGCACATATTTTGTTTAAGGGAAAATTACTGCATGAGATAATTTCATTTTTCATTCCATGCAGACCGTTTTATCAGATGTCAATGCAATCGTATAGGTTGAAACTAATAAATACTATGCTCCACTAATACCAATCCACACATTGCTAGTTTTCTTGAAAAGACAATTACTCCCTATACAGGATACAGATTTTAATATTTTGAAGATGTCAATTTAAATACTAGTAGCTAGCTATCCAATTAATGCTCCATAAACACTATTCGCAAACATCTGCAATTCTCTTAAACTGTGATTCTCAATGATAATTGACTATTAGCATTCTGCCTGAGGAACTTTTAAAGTATTGATGCCAGCACTTCATTCTAAGATGTTTGTATTTAAATGATTTGGCCACCCATAACGGACTCACTTAGACAGATTTTATTTAAGAAATTGAAACAGTTCTAATATGCAGCCAATTTTGAGAGTTACAGTTTTAAACAACAATATTTTAAAAGTACCACTGAATAATTGTACTTCTTTTTTTTTAAATTTTATTTTATTATTATTATACTTTAAGTTTTAGGGTACATGTGCACAATGTGCAGGTTAGTTACATATGTATACATGTGCCATGCTGGTGTGCTGCACCCAATAACTCGTCATTTAGCATTAGGTATATCTCCTAATGCTATCCCTGCCCCCTCCCCCCACCCCACAACAGTCCCCAGAGTGTGATGTTCCCCTTCCTGTGTCCATGTGTTCTCATTGTTCAATTCCCACCTATGAGTGAGAACATGCGGTGTTTGGTTTTTTGTCCTTGTGATAGTTTACTGAGAATGATGATTCCCAATTTCATCTATGTCCCTACAAAGGACATGAACTTATCCTTTTTTTATGGCTGCATAGTATTCCATGGTGTATATGTGCCACATTTTCTTAATCCAGTCTATCGTTGTTGGACATTTGGGTTGGTTCCAAGTCTTTGCTATGGTGAATAGTGCCGCAATAAACATACGTGTGTATGTGTCTTTATAGCAGCCTGATTTATAGTCCTTTGGGTATATATCCAGTAATGGGATGGCTGGGTCAAATGGTATTTCTAGTTCTAGATCCCTGAGGAATCACCACACTGACTTCCACAATGGTTGAACTAGTTTACAATCCCACCAACAGTGTAAAAGTGTTCCTATTTCTCCACATCCTCTCCAGCACCTGTTGTTTCCTGACTTTTTAATGATTGCCATTCTAACTGGTGTGAGATGGTATCTCATTGTGGTTTTGATTTGCATTTCTCTGATGGCCAGTGATGATGAGCATTTTTTCACATGTTTTTTGGCTGCATAAATGTCTTCTTTTGAGAAGTGTCTGTTCATGTTCTTTGCCCACTTTTTGATGGGGTTGTTTTTTTCTTGTAAATTTGTTTGAGTTCATTGTAGATTCTGGTACTTCTTAAGTCATTAAGATGGAATCCCACATAAAGTTGAGTCCTCTGATCCTCACCCCACTTCTTTTCATTGTTCTTTTGTTTTTTAGTTCTCCTTCCCTTCTTCTGTGATGCTTCTTACTCTTCTTTCCTGTCTTAGACTGCACTCCTTCCAATTTCTGTGCTCCACCAATTATTCTATTTTTTTGATGCAATAATCTCTCTCCAGTGACTAATCCCTTCCCTTTGCCCAATTAACATTATTAACATCCCCAGGTTCTGGTCTAATCCCTACTCCCAGATATAATTCTTCATGCTTCTATCCCACTCTGATTATTTTCCTTATCGACAAAAATGTATCAATCTAAGTGCCTGCATACATATATTGATCTATATCTATCTCTATATTTCTATCTGTATTTATCTATCTTGTATAGAATATACTCTGGGTTTCACTCACATCACACCACTAAAATCATATAAAATTAGATATCCCATCAGTCTATTTCTACATGTCAAAGTCAAAAGTCCTTAATCTTTTTGAAACTCTCAACTATACCCTTTTATGAAAAACTTCCCTGGTTCCCATCCTACTTCTCTGTTGGCTGAGAGATGTTACTGGCCCCTTGTTCAATTATCACCCTTTAAAAATTAACGTTCTTCAAATACGTATATATACTTCTTCTCTTTTTCATCTGTTCTCAAGTTTTCAATCATCACCTCTATATATACTTGTCTCCCAAAGTTAAATGCCCTGTAATGACCTCTTTCCCAAGCAGCAAGCTGACATTCCAGATATCAGCTGGACATGACAAAGTAGATCTTTTACAAGCACTTCAAATTGCACATATCCAAAAATACATTAACTAATCAATTATCTTTATTTTAATAAACAAACACAGACACTCAAAAACATGCATCTAGTCGTGTTGGAGGCAGCTATATCATGATGCACACCATTAATCTTTAGGTTCCACAGGCAGCAGGATAGGCACCTTGCAGTCTTGTTTGTTTTCCCTCTGCTTTACCTGCATACATCCAAATTATTGTTCAGTTTAGGCAATTTCTATTTTAGAATGTATTTGTAGATCATCATTTCATCTTTTTTGTTAAAGATTTTTTTTGAGCAGTTTTAGGTACACACCAAAATTGAGAGGAAGATACAGTGATTTCCCATATACTCACTGTCCCCACAGATGCATACCTGCCCCAATATTAACACCCCATACCAAAGTGATACATTTGCCACAATTAATGAACTTACATTCGCACATTGTTATCATCCAAAGTCTGTAGTTTGCATTAGGATTCACTCTCGGTGCTTCATTTTATGGTTTTGTACTAATGACATATATCCACCATTATAGAACCACACAGAAGAGTTTCACTGCTCTAAAAATCCTGTGCTCTGCCTATGCTTCCCTCCCCCTTGCTTGCTTCCTTCCCCTGACAATCATTGATCTTTCTACAGTCTCCATGATTTTGCCTTTTCCAGAATAGCATGTGTTTAGAATCATATAGTATGTAGCCTTGTCAGACTGGCTTATTTCACTTAGTAATACGTATTTAAAATTCCTCCATGTCTTTTCATGACATAATAGCCCATATCTTTTCAGGGCTGTATAATATTCCATTATCTAGATGTAACACAGTTTATTTATTCATTCTTCCATGAAATAATATTTTGGTTGCTTTCAAGTTTTGGCCATTATTAATAAAGCTGCTATAATCATCCATGCTAAGTTTTTTTTTTTACATGGACATAAATTTTCAAATCCTTTTGGTAAATACCAAGGAGTGGGATTGCTGGATCATATAGAATGAATATGGATATCTTTGTTAGAAACTGAGAAGCTGTCTTCTAAGGTGACTGTACCAATTTGCATTCCCATTTCCACCACCAATTCCTTTTCCATGCCTATGTGCTGCCATAATTTAGGCTACTACAGTAAACTATGTTGGGCAATCTGGCTATTTCAATGGATTTCCTACCACACTGTTTCAGATGATTATTCTGAAACTGAGTCAGAACAGATCCTCACCCTCCTGGAAAACCTACCAATGGAAGGAAGAAAGCTCCACACATACAGTCAAGGACATCTATGTAATACTCTTAAATATATTTGTTTCATCTCCTGCTACATCCCTTCATGTTATGAATCCGAGAATAATATATAGGGTTTTGTTTTACTTGTTTTTAGCATGGAATATTCTTCTTATTCTGTAACTATTGAGAGCTCTCTCAGGTTGAAGGTTTGATCCAAGTTGTATCTTTAAAAAAGAAAATCTTTAACACACAGTACAATTGTTACCTCTTTAATAAAGGCTATATTTTCCTAGCAAGTCAAAATTAATTGCTTCCACGTACCAGCTATCAACTGTATCTCCCACATGTTTTATTGTGGCTTGCGTTAAGGCTAACTTTTACGTGTCTGTCTCCCCTACTGATCTGTAAGTTCCTTTAAGACAAAAACTTTTAATGATCTAACCACGAGTGGTCAGTATAATGACTTACACACAGTAGGAATTCAGTTAATGTCCATAGAATTTAATTCCCTCGACTAATGTACCCTCAATGAGTTTAGAAAACACCTAATTTTAGATATATGTTCTATTTGGCGTAAGAATTCTATCACACACTAAGTATCACCTCACATAGTCCTTTCCCGAGATGATCTCTAACTTCACAGCTTTAGCCAAGCTACCCCTTCCTGCTCTTAAATTGGAAATATTTTAATTTCTTAGTTATTCTATATCATAGGTAATTATTCATAGGTAGTTATTCTATATCATAGGTATACCTATATCATAGGTAATTATCATACCTATATCATAGGTAGTTATTCTATATCATAGGTAATATATCATAGGAAAAAACTTTGAACATAATTATTTTTATAGCCTAATTTTATAGAAAAATGTGAGTTAATATAATGACAGATGATTGTTCCAAATTAACGAGGGTTTTAAGTGACAGAGATGAAGTAGAATCCAATTTAAAGACAATAGAATTGGGAGGCAGGCTAGCTAGTTGCATTTCTTTCTGCCACTTTGTACCATTACATGACATAACCTTTTGTACCTCAGTTTTCCAATCTTTAAAATGGTGATAATAATAGTACCAACCTCAAAAGAGTGTTGTGATTATTAAACTAACTATATAAACTACTATCACATGCATGCTTAGCAAATGCTGCATGTGGTAACTTGCTATTATTACTGTACCATTCTCATAAATTATGTAAAGCACTTATGATTATTAATATTTGTTGCTACCTTATCTGTATATACTTCTGAGTGTCCTGTGTTATTTAGTGCTCTGTGGAGGACACGTACATAACATATAAAATTACATATTAAATTCTGTTTTTGTAATTTCAAATATTCAAGTTTAAGATAAAACTACATCGTATTTTAATGTCTCTTGACAATTTATTTCACACAAGATTGGGAGGGTTCAGAGTGGTATGGCCATAGACGACAATTTCTTTCAAATAATGATTTTGTTTTCTTTGGTTTGTGTGTATAATGTCATGATTAAAGTTTGAGGGTTATATTTACTTAAGGTCTTGAGGGGGTTCAGTATTTCAGCAAATACCGGATAAAGTCTTCATGAGCAAAGCTTACAAAAATGTGGACCTATTTTTACATTAGTACACAATTTTAATTTATTTTTGATATTTGAAGCATTTTATTTTTTTCTAAAGACCACTCCATTTCTTGGCTAAACCTATTTGTATTAGAATTGAAATATATACACCAACATGTAATTCTGAACTTATACAGGTTATTCACTCATGCTTAGGACTTTAATTGAATTCCAAGTTTGATTACACTATCAGCATTTTTTCAAATGGATGATATTCCCCAATCTAAGAAACTAGCAACACCTCAGGAGGCTGAAGCGGGAGAATCTCTTGGAGGTTGCAGTGAGCCAAGATCGCGCCATTGCACTCCCGGCTGGGTGACGGAACGAGACTCTGTCTCAAAAAAAAAAAAAAAAAAAAAGAAAAGAAAAAGAAAAAAGAAAGAAGGAAAAGAAAATAGCAACACCTTCCATTTGATTGGAAAAAGTTATTCTTGAAACATACTCATTTACTCCCATCTCCAATCTATTACCACCTCCTACCAATTTTTTCTCATATACTTATTTAATGCATCTACCTGTTTTTCTTTTTTTCTTTTTTTTGCTCTGTCGCCCAGGTTGGAGTGCAGTGGTGCGATCTCAGCTCACTGCAAGCTCCGCCTCCCGAGTTCACGCCATTCTCCTGTCTCAGCCTCCTGAGTAGCTGGGACTACAGGAGCCCACCACCATGCCCGGCAATTTTTTTTTTGTATTTTTATTAGAGACGGGGTTTCACCGTGTTAGCCAGGATGGTCTGGTTCTCCTGACCTCGTGATCTGCCTGCCTCGGCCTCCCAAAGTGCTGGGATTACAGGTGTGAGCCACCACGCCCGGCCTTAATTTTTCTTTCACTGCCACCATCAACTTTCACCTAAACCTGTGAAATGTCCTTCTATGAGTATTATTTATGTCTCCTCTTTCCCTCTTCTTCATTCATTAGCCAGTGGGCTATATTACATTTGAAATCACTCAAATAATTAGCATGCTTGACCCCTTCAATGGTTTTCTACTGCTATAAAAATGAAGCCCATAATCGATATCCTGTATTACTGGATTAGCGTTCAATTTCTTCACTTAGCATTTTATCTTTCTCTTATTTGTTATGATGCTCCCACAGTGATGAGATAACTTTCATTCATATGCTTTCCGTCTTTTAGGTCTTAATTTAAATGCCGCTTCCTCAAAGAAGACTTCCATGATTTCCTCTTCTCAATGTTACCCCTTTATTATCTTGGAGCATCCTGATTTCTCCTTCACAGCACATTTAAAAATTTATAATTATATGGTTAAACTATCTGTTTCTCTCACTTAATTATAGGCTCAAATGGAATAAAATTATTGTCAATTTTTTTGCATACTTTTCTTCTTTTTCTATCACTACTGTATGCCTAACACCTTACACAGTCCCAGCACATTGACCTTTAATAAATATTATTTGTTAAATGAATAAATGGATAAAAAGAACTAATAGATGTAGGTAAAATATGTATTAGGAATTTATTTATGAGTCATGGGAAATAACTTATATTTCAGGTTAATTCATTTTTAAATTTTTTACAAAGTAAAATATTTTAAACTACAGTTATATTAGTATCCCTATAACGTAGTACTTCCAAACTTGATTATTCAGAAGAATCACTTCAAAAAGACTCTTGAGATGCTAAACTGACTGAAAACATAAGTCAATCATATATGCTGTTAAAGAGGCAAAGTTGAATAATTAACACATTTATTTGAAAATGATTTATTGTGTAGAGCATTTAAAGTATTGCGCACGATGCCAAATCATAAGAAATAAAGAAACTATCAACATATAGTTTATGACCTTAAGTAATTACTAGACTACTAATGAAGAAAGGCAAATTATATTTTGGTTTTATAATACATGACAAATATGACTTAGATCATCAAATTAAACATTATTAAGTGTTTAGCACATATTTCAGTATCTCTTAAAACCTTAGGGCTTATGTAGTTTAGGCTGAGGTTTCCCATTTGATAAATTTGAAGAAATACTAATGCTAGCATTATAGTAATCACAATTCCTTGCATTTTGAATTTGTGTAACTGAAAACAGAATATTTAGATTTTATATTATTTTTCAGACGTTATCCCCTTTCCTTGATATACTTAACAGTGTAGCTTTTTAAAGAAAACTCATTTGTAAACACAATTATTTACTTTTATATTTCTGTATCATGTTTTTTGGTTGTCATAGTGAAAGTTGTCCAATTTCATGGTCCGGTTTCAATAATTAATGCTTAGGTGCTTGCATTTTTTATGAAGCTTCTGCTTATTTGTATGTGATTGTTTTTACAATCATGTAAATTGTGTATTTTTAATTTTGACTATATTCACGCTCATACTTATGGTTCTATATATTGCTGGTTTACTAGATATTTGACTTGAAATATGATATTGCTCTAGAAGAAACAAAATGTACAATATATTTTATACTATTTTCTTTAGTATATGTCCAATAAATGAAACATTTCTTTGATCAATTTTAGCTTTTATTCACCTATTGTTTCCAAAAAAGAGCTCATTTTCTTTTCAGCTTTCACTGGTAGTAAATTTTGTTATTTTCATGCGCGTGAAGAGACCACCAAACAGGCTTTGTGTGAGCAACATGGCTGTTTATTTCACCCGGGTGCAGGCGGGCTGAGTCCGAAAAGAGAGTCAGCTAAGGGAGATAAGGGTGGGGCCGTTTTATAGGATTTGGGTAGGTAAAGGAAAATTACATTCAAAGGGGGTTTGTTCTCTGGCGGGCAGGAGTCGGGGGTCGCAAGGTGCTCAGTGGGGGTGTTTCTGAGCCAGGATGAGCCAGGAAAAGGACTTTCACAAGGTAAAGTCATCACTTAAGGCAAGGACTGGCCATTTACACTTCTTTTGTGGTGGAATGTCATCAGTTAAGGTGGGGCAGGGCATATTCACTTCTTTTGTGATTCTTCAGTTACTTCAGGCCATCTGGGCGTATAAGTGCAAGTCACAGGGGATGCGATGGCTTGGCTTGAGCTCAGAGGCCTGACATTCCTGGCTTCTTATATTAATAAGAAAAATAAAACAAAATAGTGTTGAAGTGTTGGGGCGGCGAAAATTTTTGGGGGGTGGTATGGAGAGAGAATGGGCGATGTTTCTCAGGGCTGCTTCAAGCAGGATTAGGGGCGGCGTGGGAACCTAGACTGGGAGAGATTAAGCTGAAGGGAGGCCTTGTGGTAAGGGGTGATATTGTGGGGATGTTAGAAGAAACATTTGTCATATAGAATGATTGGTGATGGCCTGGATACGGTTTTGGATGAATTGAGAAACTAAATGGAATAACAGAAGGAGAAAAACAGGTATAAAAGGTCTAAGAATTGGGACAACTCAGGATATCTGATTAGAGAGTGCCTAAGGAGATTCAGCATAGTCCTGCCAGCAAAGATTATTTATTTACTTCAAGAGTTAAGAGTGGCAGTTTGGGGATAGCACCAGGAGATATCAGCTGTGATGGCTTGGAAAAACAGTGTAAACCGGCAGTGTAAACAAGAGCAGGGCATGTACGAGTAGTTGAGAACGGTGAATAGGAGTATGACTAGACAGAAGATAGTAGGGATGACAAGTTTTTTGGGGGGCACAGTCTTAAGTTGCTCTGGTGTCTGGAATGAGACTGGGGCTTAATAAAAAGGAGCATCTATACCGCTCAAATGGGCTGTACCCCTGTAGCATTCTGAGGACAGGCCTGAATTCTGAGAAGGGAAAGTGGTAAAAGTATTGTCCAGTCCTTTTTAAGTTGGTGGCTGAGCTTGGTGAGGTGTATTTTTAAAAGACCTTTAGTCCATTCTACTTTTCTTGAAGACGGAGGACCGTAAGGGATATAAAGGTTTCACTGAATATTAAGAGCCTGAAAAACTGCTTGGCTGATTTGACTAATAAAGGCTCGTCCGTTATCAGACTGTATTGAGGTGGGAAGGCTAAACTGAGGAATTATGTCTGACAGAAGGGAAGAAATGCCTGCGGTGGCCTTCTCAGACCCTGTAGGAAAGGCCTCTACCTATCCAGTGAAAGTATCTACCTAGACTAAGAGGTATTTTAGTTATCTGACTCAGGGCATGTTGAGTAAAGCTAATTTGCCAGTCCTGGGTGGGGCAAATCCTCGAACTTGATGTGTAGGGAAGGGAGGGGGCCTGAATAATCCCTGAGGAGTAGTAGAATAGCAGATGGAACACTGAGAAGTTATTTCCTTGAGGATAGATTTCCACGATGGAAAGGAAATGAGAGGTTCTAAGAGGCGGGCTAGTGGCTTGTACTATAGCATAACCTGCCTTTGCTGGTGTGTGGGGATTAGGCCTGGTGGAACCGCCATCAATAAATCAAGCGTGATCAGGGTGAGGAACAGGAAAGAAGGAAATTTGGGGAAATGGGGTGAATGTCAGGTGGATCAGAGGGATACAGTCATGGGGGTCAGGTGTGGTATCAGGAATAATGTGGGAGGCCGGATTGAAGTCTGGGTCAAGAACGACGGTAATTGTGGGAGACTCAACAAAGAGTGAGTATAGCTGAAGGAGCTGGGAAGCAGAAAGTATATGCATCAGGTATGAGGAAGAAAATAGGTTTTGGAAGTTATGAGAACTGTAGAGAGTGAGTTGAGCATAGTTTGTGATTTTGAGGGCCTCTAAAAGTATTAATGCAGTGGCAGCCACTGCACGCAGACATGAGGGCTAGACTAAAACAGTAAGGTCAAGTTGTTTGGGCAGAAAGGCTACAGGGTGTGGTCCTGGCTCTTGTGTAAGAATTCTGACCACACTAACCATGCCTAGGAAAGAAAGGAGTTGTTGTTTTGTAGAAGTTGCTGTGGTTTGAGAGATCAGTCGGACACGATTGGCAGGGAGAGCACGTGTGTTTTTATGAGAATTATGCTGAGATAGGTAACAGATGAGGAAGAAATTTGGGCTTGATTGAAGTAATGGGGGCTGCCTGTGAAGCTTTGTGGCAGTACAGCCTAGGTAATTTGCTGAGCTTGATGGGTGTCAGGGTCAGTCCAAGTGAAAGCGAAGAGAGGCTGGGATTAAGGGTGCAAAGGAATAGTAAAGAAAGCATGTTTGAGATCTAGAACAGAATAATGGGTTATAGAGGCAGGTACTGAGGATAGGAGAGTATATGGGTTTGGCAGCACGGGGTGGATAGGCAAAACAATTTGGTTGATAAGGCGCAGATTCTGAACTAACTTGTAAGGCTTATCTGGTTTTAGGACAGGTGAAATGGGGGAATTGTAAGGAGAGTTTATAGGCTTTAAAAGGCCATGCTGTAGCAGGCAAGTGATAACAGGCTTTAATCTTTTTAAAGCGTGCTGCGGGATGGGATGTCGGCGTTGAGTGGGGTAAGGGTGATTAGGTTTTAATGAGATGGTAAGGGGTGCATGATTGGTCGCCAAGGAGGGAGTAGAGGTATCTTATACTTGTAGGTTAAGGTGGGGGGATACAAGAGGAGTATGCAAAGGAGGCTTTGGATTGGGAAGAAGGGCGGCAATGAGATATAGCTGTAGTCCAGGAATAGTCAGGGAAGCAGATAATTTAGTTAAAGTGTCACAGCCTAATAAGGGAACTGGGCAGGTGGGGATAACTAAAAAGGAGTGCTTAAAAGAGTATGGTCTAAGTTGGCAACAGAGTTGGGGAGTTTTCAGAGGTTTAGAAGCCTGGCCGTCAATACCCACAACAGTTATGGAGGCAAGGGAAACAGGCCCTTGAAAAGAAGGTAATGTGGAGTGGGTAGCCTCCGTATTGATTAAGAAGGGGACGGGCTTACCTTCCACTGTGAGAGTTACCCGAAGCTCGGCGTCCGTGATTGTCTAGGGGGCTTCCGAGGCGATCAAGCAGTGTCAGTCTTCAGCCGCTAAGCCGAGAAGATCTGGGAAGGAGTCAGTCAGCCTTGGGCCAGAGTTCCAGGGGCTCTGGGAGTGGCTGCCAGGTGAGTTGAACAGTCCGATTTTCAGTGGGGTCCCACACAGATGGGACGCGGCTTAGGAGGAATCCCGGGCTGCAGGCATTCCTTGGCCCAGTGGCCAGATTTCCTGCATGTGTAGCAAGCTCCTGTGGGAGGAGGTTCTGGAGGAACGCCTGGCCGCTGCGGTTCAGGCATTTGGAAGTTCTTTTGTGCTGGAGATGTGGCTGGGGTTTGTCTCACAGTGGAGGCAAGGAATTGCAACATTTTTCTATTATTGTACACCTTGAAGGCGAGGTTAATTAAATCCTGTTGTGGGGTTTGAGGGCCGGAATTTAATTTTTGGAGTTTTATTTAATGTCAGGAGCAGATTGGGTAATAAAATGTATTTTGAGAATAAGACGGCCTTTTGACCTTTTAGGGTCTAGGGCTGTAAAGTGTCTCAGGGTTGCTGCCAAACACGTCATGAACTGGGCTGGATTTTTATATTTGATGAAAAAGAGCCTAAACGCTATCTGATTTGGGATAAAGAAAAAGGAGCATTAACCTTGACTATGCCTTTGGCTCCAGCCACCTTTTTAAGAGTAAATTGCTGGGCAGGTGGGGGAGGGCTAGTCACGGAACGAAACTGTAAGCCCGACCAGGTGTGAGGAGGGGAGGCGATAAAAAGATTATAGGGTGGAGGAGCAGAGGCTGAGGAAGAATTGGGACCTAGCTCGGCCTGGCGAGGAGCAGCCTGGGGAGGAAGGGAGAGGTCAGATGGGTCTGTAGAAAAGGAAGATTAGAAAGACTCAGCGATGCTTGGGGTTGGTACTGAGGGGACAGGCGGGAGGGAAAGAAGGAAGATTTGGGACGAGTTGCATTGGGCACAGAGACTAGGAAGGGACTGATGTGTAAAAGAATGCCTGGACGTCAGGCACCTCAGACCGTTTGCCTATTTTACGACAAGAATTATTTAGATCTTGCAGGATGGAAAAATTCAAAGTGCCATTTTCTGGCTATTTGGAACTACTGTCGAGTTTGTATTGGGGTCAAGCGGCATTGCAGAAGAAAATAAGGCATTTAGGTTTTAGGTCAGGTGTGAGTTGAAGAGGTTTTAAGTTTTTGAGAACACAGGCCAAGGGAGTAGAAGGAGGAATGGAGGGTGGAAGGTTGCCTATAGTCAAGGAAGCAAGCCTAGAGAAAAGAGAGAGTAGGGAAACAGAGGGAAGGGGTTCGGGGGTTCTTACCTTCCAGAAAAGTGGGAAAAGGGGTTGGGGCACAGAGATAAGAGGTCGGGGCACAGAAATAAGGGATGGGGCACAGAAATAAGGGGTCGGGGCACGGAAATAAGGGGTTGGGGCATGGAAATAAGGGATTGGGGCACAGAGATACGAGGTTGGGGTGCGGAAATAAGGGATTGGGGCGCAGAGATAAGAGGTTGGGGTGCGGAAATAAGAGATTGGGGGTTCTTGCCCTGTAGAAAAGCGGGACTTGCTGCTAAGGGTGAAAGAGGAGGGGTTGAGGGGTACTTGCCCCTCTCCCAGAAAAGCAGAGAAGGGTTAGAGACAAGGAGAGAAGGGGTTGAGGTACTTGCCCCTTCCCCAGAAAAGCAGGACTTGCCGCTAAGGGTGAAGGACCAAGGCAGGCGTCCCTGTGTGGTCTGACACCCTTGAAACGTGGGTGTATAATCAGGCGTCCCTGCAATGATTAAACACCAAGGGAAGGCTGCCTTCCCTGTCCGTGACCGGCGCCGGAGTTTTGGGTCCACGGATAAAATGTGTCTCCTTTGTCTCTCCCAGAAAATGAAAGGAATTGAAATTAAGAGAAGGGAGAGATTGAAGAGTGGAAAGGAGAAAGTGGTTGAGGGACAGTGAGAGAGGTTGGAGAAGAGAGTAAGAAGAGGCCGCTTACCTGATTTGAAATTGGTGAGATGTTCCTTGGGCTGGTCGGTCTGAGGACCTGAGGTCATAGGTGGATCTTTCTCAGGGAGCAAAGAACAGGAGGACAGGGGATTGATCTCCCAAGGGAGGTCCCCCGATCCGAGTCACGGCACCAAATTTCATGCGCGTCCATGTGAAGAGACCATCAAACAGGCTTTGTGTGAGCAACATGGCTGTTTATTTCACCCAGGTGCAGGCGGGCTGAGTCCGAAAAGAGAGTCAGCGAAGGGAGATAAGGGTGAGGCCGTTTTATAGGATTTGGATAGGTAAAGGAAAATTACAGTCAAAGGGGGTTTGTTCTCTGGCGGGCAGGAGTGGGGTTCGCAAGGTGCTCAGTGGAGGTGCTTTTTGAGCCAGGATGAGCGAGGAAAAGGACTTTCACAAGGTAATGTCATCACTTAAGGCAAGGACTGGCCATTTACACTTCTTTTGTGGTGGAATGTCATCAGTTAAGGTGGGGCAGGGCATATTCACTTCTTTTGTGATTCTTCAGTTACTTCAGGCCATCTGGGCGTATAAGTGCAAGTCACAGGGGATGCGATGGCTTGGCTTGGGCTCAGAGGCCTGACAGTTATAATGTCCAAGCATAGTCATCTGAGTAAAATAAAAATAGTTGGGTATTGAGATATTTCAAATACAGGAGATCTTAGGGGAAAAAACAAACATTTAAATAGAGCAGTAGGGATTTCTTAAAACCCTAGTAAACTTGCTCATCCAGTTTGGCAAAGGAAACAAACAAACAAACAAAAGCACTATTGTGCAAGTCCTAATATATGTATGCTACATGTTGTATTACTTTCTTGGCTAGATTATAATTTAATCTACACAGATTTTTAGGTGATTCGTACTAAACTAAGTGCTCTGAAAAATACGTAGAACGAGTAAGGCACAGCCCTAATCCTCAAGGAGTTGACTATATTTTGCAAGAAATAATCCTTCTTCACAGTGAAATAATCAGAAAACATCACAATTATTGAGTTGTTAAATTTGATGAGAAAGACTAAGAGCACTAACGAGAATTCATCAAAAGTGAGTGGGGATGATGATCTGTTAGAGTACTCAGATAGGCAAGTGAAGATAATATGATGTTGAAGATGAAATGATACGGCCAAAGGCATAGTAATTTCATGAGGCATTAAAGATACAAATTTAACTGGCATTGGAGAGAAGAGGAACTGAATGCTCAAAGATTTGCTTTTCTTTTACTAAGTCAAATATATGTTGGTTTATTCTCCCAGCCCCTTTGTCATGACAGGCTTTTCTGTACTTTTGTAAAGTATTTTTATGTTTCTGTAACAGCATTTCATTTAAAGATAGGTTTCTCTCTCATCTCCTTTCCTAGAGCACCTTCTGTTTGACAGAAGTTATTGTTTCTGTTTCTTTTCCACTCTTCATTTTTCGGAGTCAGACATTTGGTACAAATTAAGGTCTGAATAAATGGATCCAATTATTTATAAATTAATTTAAGATGGCTACCTTGCATGTAGAGTAGTTTAGATTTGGCATTGTATACAACGTGAGATTTCTTGAAGAAGTATGAAAGACTGGGTCCTTAAATCGATGGGTTAAAGCTAATGAGATGGAAATTAATGGAAGCCAACTTTGAGGAAATCTTTTTTTGAGAGTGTAAGTTGGGCATGAGAGAATTTGATAGCATTAGAGCACTTAAGGTTCCAGTTTCCAGTCTCAGAGTTTGAGTAATTAGAACCAATGAACCTTTACAAAAGGATCATGAAGTTGCTGCAGAAAAGAAACAAGCCCTTTAAATAGTCAGGCTGTGAAAAGAAATGCTTTAAAGTCATCTTCTTGTTGTTTTATTTCTTGCCTTTTTTTGGGAAGAAAAATGCATAGATGGGAGATTCATCTTCGGTGACAATTATTCATATAAGTATTTAATGATCATGTTATTATTAATGTTATCAATATCTTTTTCCAAATTATACAACCAAAGTGATAAATTTGCCAGCCACCTACCCTACTGAGGTGCCCATCATCTTGGATTATTCTAGGATATGCGTAAGAGAAGGGGGAAAACTGGGAGCCTGTTATGCTTTTTGGCTTTAAAGCATCACTTGTTCACATTAAGGCCACAGAGAATAAATCTGAAAATAAATACATTTGCAATCCCCAATTTGCTTGGCCAGCAGGAGTTATTGAAGAACTTCCTGAATGTTATTGACACATGAAGAAATCAACAAACATAAAAGCAAACCCATTATATCATTTTTCCATCAGAAATCACACTGAATAGTGAATTTCCAGTGATAGTTTAATGAGCAGCAGCCTTAGGTTCAGACTGAATGCCAACCTGGAGAGACCCAGTAGACCTTACACAGCTCCAAGTTGATTTAGCTTTAATTAAGGATACCAGGCAGGCAACAATATAGCTTCTATGGCAATAGCATAGTAGAAGTCTTGTAACTTTAGATATAATATCTTATGACTTCTAAGTCATCTGCACTCATTATGTGTTACCCACTTGCTACACATTTCTGAGGAATCTTCTTAAAATTTTTGTTACACTAACTTCTATAATATCTAGTGCATTAAAAATAGATGTTAAAACACTGGCTATCACCAGAGCATATTTCATACACTAAGAAGTTGGAATTCCCTCTACAAAGCAAATTAACAACCATAGATAGATTCACTTAACTGTTCTGATATTTCTTTAACATTTGAAAGACAATTTTTCCCCCTTATCCTCTATTACTTCTGCCTTTTTATAAGTGTTGATACATTCAACTGGGTATATTAGTTTACACACGTAAATTCAATTCTTTCTCTGGCAAATCCTTCTACATAAGGATTACCTAGTTGTAAGTTTTATGTTGCCCATCCAAATAATCTTTCTGTCCTAGAGATCAGTATGCACTCAGATTTTATTTTTATCTAACTACATAAATGAATTTAAAAATCCCTTATCACACGATAGAGCTGAGGCAGAGAGATGAAATATTTAACACAATACACTTTAATATTTCCAAATTATTTTCTCAACTTTCCTAGCAAAAAATAGACTTTTCCTACATATCATACATTTTACATTACCAGAGTAGTCATTAGATACTCTTTCTCCGACAATTCTGCATCTGGTCTGATAGCATAACTATAAACCATCCCCTAGGAATAAACTTTCACTAGCGAAAGCTTCTGCATATGAATGCAGCACACCAGTCACTTTTCTTTAATAAAGCAATGCATTGATTCTTAGTCTGTCCAAACTTCGCCAAAGGTACCATGAAGAAGATGTTTGTTTCCTAGTTCATAGAAATATGACTGTAATAGAAGATTGATAATGCCCATACTTACAAATGACATCTTGGTATAGTTTAGATTGTCCGTAGTTCCCAGAGATATGTCCCTCCTGACTTGATCTTCTAGTATAGCCAACTAGAACCATTTAAATACATCAGAATTTATTATAATTGTTATTTCAGTAATCATTGATTACTCTGTAATCATTCCTGAGTAATGCCAAGTTATTGAAAAAGAATGTTCCCTACTCTGCTTATTTAGGTTAATATGTTTGCCTAAAAGCCATCTCTACTTGATTCAGTAAACTAATTTATTGAACTTCAAATCCCTCTTAGTTCTTTATGTCCAGTGTTGATTAAGGTGACTCAAGGATTGTTCCTCGGTTTGGTTTGGCTCTGTGTCCCCACCCAAATCTCACCTTGAGTTGTGAACCTTAGTATTGGAGTAGGGGCCTAGTGGAAGGTAATTGGATTATGGAGGCAAATTTCTCCCATGCTATTCTCATGATAGTGAGTGACTTCTCATGAGAGCTGATGGTTTAAAAGTATATGGCACTTCTCCTCTCGCTCTCTCTCTCTCTCCTGCTGCCATGTGAACAAGGTGCTTCCTTCTCCTTTGCCTTCTGTAATGATTGTAAGTTTCCTGAGGCCTCCCAGTCATGCTTCCTGTTAAGCCTGTGGAACTGTGAGTCAATTAAAACTCGTTTCTTCATAAATTACCCAGTCTGAGTTAGTTCCTTATAGCAGTGTGAAAATAGACTGATACATTTCCTCTAAGTATATATGATATGAATACGATTCAAGTATATTGTGTGCATACAGAAGTATTGTTTCTCCCAGAAGCTTGTAGATTAGGCATATTCTACTTCTAGGTGAAGTTCAACCTGAGTGTGCAAAAGGATCCTTATAATTGCCCTTGAGAATTTCTAGGAACAAATCATCAGGATATGGGGTCACCATATAACTTTACTGTTCACCTTCTTGTTTACAATACTGATTCCATAAACGTTTGTTTATATTTCATCCCACACTTAAACACATCTGGTGAGGCAAAAAAGAAAAATCGACTCTGTCATACTAGGAAACCACCGAAGAATGCCTTAAGTGATGTCATTTTTATACATATCTATACATGTATAAGCTATGGCTGCCAGCCACTGCATATCAGATAAGGTCAAAGTTAGAATTTAACTCAAGGCTTCAAATGTAAAATTAGGATAAATATAACCAACGAAAAAGGCCCAAGTGATACAATCCTATCTCATATTCTGGCATGTCATAAGGAGACATTAACCCCAAATGATCCCAGTAGAGTTCTCAAGTATATCTTGTACCTTGATTTCTGCCAAATCTGTGCAATTCTCCAGCATTGGCCATTAATCATTACCACATCTGAAGGGAGCTGCTAAGAAGATTATACTCTTGCTATAAAATGTTCTCTCAGAGGAAAATATGAAGGTATCTTATCTTGAAATCTTTGTTTGTGTGCTCTCCATTCTATATTCCACAATTTCACCTTCTCTTCTACTGATTACTTTTCTCAACACAGACAGCCTTTCATAGTTGGATTAGCTGATTACATTCTGCTTTTCTTCCATGGGTCTGGCTTTTCTTTGCTTGCCAGAGCTTTCATACCTGTCCATTCATAGGAGGAAGAAGTAGTTTTACAAAGGTAGCATGGAGTTCATGGAGTTGATAGTAAAGTCTCTGAAGGCAGAGGAACATACAGTGGTTTAAAAGAGAAAGAAAGAAACAAATAATCAAGATCTAAACTTTGTGAGGTGCATAAGAAGGCAGGAAGAAGGAAGAAAGTTACTCAAATGATGAAACAATACATGAACAAGTAGCCTGAAGGGCATTCTATAATGTAGCAGAAAAAAATGGATAAATATCATTAAAAAGGTCAGATGTGTGGGTGGAATTATCTTTGTTATTTTCGATAACTTTATTAAGGTATAATTTACATGTCCTCATGTATGTATATTACCAAAACATCAAGGGTTTCATCTAGGTCCTGCTGCTTGCTTCACAAAATGCCAATCAGTGAGACAACAAATATTGCCAGAGAAGAAAACTTTAATCAGGTGCTGCAGCTGAGGAGAATGGGAGATAAAGTCTCAAATCCATCTCCCCAAATGATTAAAATTAGGGGTTTATATAGCAGGGAAAAAATACTTGTGCAAAAACAAATATTAGGGTAGGGTAAGGAAGAGGAATTGGTAAACTGGAATCATAATCCATGGATGAGAGGTCTGGCATCTCATTTTCTGGATACAGTTATCTGGTGAGTTTCAGTTCCTTGGTTTCTAGGAGGGTTGAGGGTTAGTGTCCTGAGGAAGAAACTCCCATGAGACAAATGTAAGTTTCAAGCTTCAAGACAGGGTATGGTGGGGTGGGGGTGGGGGGTCAATTTCTGTGTTTATTCAAAGACCAGTAAACATCAGTTCCATGAAAGAGTTGGGCTGGTTTTAGTAAATTTAGACAGTTGTGCAACAATGACCACAATCTAGTTCTATACATTTCTTTCACCCCCAAAATTTCCATCACCCCAAAACTTTACTCATGACCACTTGTAGTCAATGCTCACTCCCATTTTCAGCTGTAGACACCCCCTGTTTTGGTTTCTGCCTCTAAAAGTTTTCCTTGTCTAGGAATTAAAAAATATGGAGTCCCATAGTATGTATCTTTTACTTTTATTTTACCTGGCTTTTTAAATAGCATAATGTTTATGTAGCTCATCTATGCTGTGGCATGAATCAATGCTATATATCTGTTTCTTTGAGTTACTTAATAGAATCCATCTTGTGAAAACACATTCTGCTTATCTGTTTACCAGTTGATGGGCATTTCAGTTGTTTCCAGTTTAATGTGACTGTGAATATTCTATATAAGTCACTTTTTGGAAATGTAAATATATATACACACACATATATATACACATATATGTTTATTTTTCTGTTTGTTATATATAGATATCTTACGAAAAGTGCTAGATTACATGGTAAATATATACTTTTTAAATAAACTGTCAAACTGCTTTTTAATAACAGTGGCTTGTACCATTTTACCACCCACTACATCCTCTCTGATAGTATTGTCAGTTCATTTGTTAAAGCCATTATACAGATGCTTATTAGTATCTCATTGTGATTTTGTGTTCCCTTAATGACAAATTAATTTGAGATACTTCCATGTGCTTATTAGCCATTTATTGATCTTCTTTGGTGAAATATCTATTCAAATCTTTCACTCATTTAAAAAATTTGTGTTTGTTTTCTTAGTACTGACTGGTAAGTATTCTCTATAAATTATAAATACAAGTCCTTTATCAGATATATGATCTGCAAATATTTTGCAAATACATAATCTGTATTTTATGTATCATGTTCTTATGTTTTTGGTAGAGAAAAAGCTTTTAATTTTTAGGAAGTTTATTTTTTATTGTATCATACTTTTACTGTCATATTTAAGAAAATTTGCCAACCAAATTCACAAAGATTTTCTCCTATATTATCTTCTCCTAGTATTCATAGTGTAGCTTTCACCTTTAGGTCTGTGATGCATTTTGAGTTAATTTTACATATGCTGTGAGGTAAATCTCTCAGTTCATGTTTATTTTTACAGTATTCTTCCCTTGTCCTCAGTTTTGCTTTCCATGGTTTCTATTACTTTTGGTCAACTATATTCTGAGAACATTAAATGGAAAATTCTAGAAATCAACAATTCCAAAGTTTTAAATTTTGTGCCATTTTCAGTAGTGTGATGAAATCTTGAGGTGTCCTACTCTGTCCCCAGCTTGTTGGGGGGGGCATGAATCATCCTTTTGTCCAGCATCTCCAGGACATCTATGCTCCCTGCCCATGAGTCACTTAGAAGCTATCTCTGTTATTAGATTACCTGTGGTGGTACCCTTATTTTACATAACAATGGTCCCAAAGCACAGGAGTAGTGATTCTGGCAATTCATATATATCAAAGAGAAGCTATGAAAGTGCTTCCTTTAAGTTAAAATGTGAAAGTTCTCATCTTAATAATGAAAAAAATTGTATGCTGAGGTTGCTCATATCTATGTAAGAATGAATCCTCTATCCATGAAATTATGAAGAAGAAAAAACAAAGCAATACTCATTTAAATATTTCCCTGAAATCGAGTCTGTCCTCTCTTGATGGAAATATTTACCAGCTAATTTATCTGTATTTTTTTACTTATTGAGTAATTCAATATTATTTCTATACAGGGACAATTCTACCACTTTCAAGCAATATCTTTGCCTATTGTAATGAATAATTATATATTACATTATTGTATTAATGATTACATGGTATCTCAAACCAAAATCTCGAAGCACAATAATCCTAGAAAAATAATCAAAAAGCAAACCAAGAAGAGTAGTTAAGCATCAAAACTATTTTATATATTTAGGGTTCTTACGGTTGAAAGACATAATTTCAAAATAAATTAGCATTTAAAATATGTAATTTTTAATCTATCAGAAAGTGGTGAATTTGGTTTCAGGCATAAGCAGAAACCATGTCATGAGCGATATTTTCTGCTTATTTCTTGACATGTCTTCTTCTGTATGGGTCTCAGTCTTAGGTACATCCAATGAAGACTGGAAAGCCAGCAGAAACACCAGATATAAATTTACCAGTTTAGCCCTAGAGGAAGAAAAAAACACTCTTTTACAGTAGTTCTAGGAGTCACCTTGACTATACCAACTTGAATAACTTGACATGTTTTTTTGCCAATTGCTCCCCAAAGGAAAATAAGGGACTTTTACTGGAAGCAAGAGCCAAGGATGCCCAAGAGGCAAAAACATCAAATGATCAACACATTCATGCATTATCAATTAAGCCATAATTCACTTTTTTTTTTTTTTTGAGACAGACTCTCACTCTGTCACCCAGGCTGGAGTGCAGTGGCACAATCTCGGCTCACTGCAAGCTTCACATCCTGGGTTCATGCCATTCTCCTGCCTCAGCCTCCCAAAAACACTGGGACTACATGTGCTCGCCACCACGCCTGGCTAATATTTTTGTATTTTTAGTAGAGATGGGGTTTCACCGTGTTAGCCAGGATGATTTCAAACTCCTGACCTCGTGATCTGCCCACCTCAGCCTCCCAAAGTGCTGGAATTACAAGCGTGAGCCACAGCTTCCGGCCCATAATTCACTTCTAATAAAAAATATATTTATTCATATAAAATACCGTGTTTACACTCTTGCATTACAATTTATATTCTTGCATATGGTTTATATCAACTGTGGCTTTCTGTGTCATTTTTGAGACTCCAATTTGAATGTTTTTGTTCAGCTTATGCACAATTCAATCATCTTTATATTTGTCCTTTTATATCAAGCTGTATTTTTTTTATCAGAACCAGGAAAGAGCAATTAAAGAGAGTAGTAAACTGCAGCCAAAATTTAAAAGGAAACATTAGGAGCAACTTAGATTATTTTGTGGTCACATGGGTGATTGATGGTGATATGGTTTGGCTATGTCCCCACCCAAATCTCATTTTGAATTCCCAAGTATTGTGGGAGGGATCTGGTGGGAGGTAATTGAATCATGGGGGCAAGATTTTCCCTTGCTGTTCTCATGATAGTGAATAAGTCTCCCACAATCTGATAGCTTTAAAAATGGAAGTTTCCCTGCGCAAGCTCTCCTCTCTTATCTGCTACCACCTTCTGCCATGATTGTGAGACCTCCCCGCCATATAGAACTGTAATTTCAATACCTGTTTTCTTTTGTAAATTGCCCAGTCTCGGGTATGTCTATATCAGCAATGTGAAAATTAACTAATACAGTAAATTGATACCAGTAGAGTGGGGTGATGCTGAAAACATACCTGAAAATGTGGAAGCAATTTTAGAACTGAGTAACAGGCAGAGGTTGGAGCAGTCTGGAGTGTTAGAAAAAGACAGGAAGATGTGGGAAAATTTGGAACTTCCTAGAGACTTGTCAAATGGCTTTGTCCAAAATGCTGATAGTGATGTGGACAATAAAGTCCAGCCTGAGGTGGTCTCAGAGGGAGATGAGGAACTTCTTGGGAACTGGAGCAAAGGTGAATCTTGTTATGTTTTAGCAAAGACACTGGTGGCATTTTGCCCCTGCTCTAGAGATTTGTGGAACTTTGAACTTGAGAGAGATGATTTGGGATACCTGGCGGAATAAATTTCTTAGCAGCAAAACATTCATGAGGTGTCTTGGGTGCTGTTAAGTGCATTCAGTTTTATAATGGAAACAGAACATAAAAGTTTGGAAAATTTGCAGCCTGACAACACAATATAAAAGAAAATCCCATTTTCTAAGGAGAAGTTAAAGCCACCTGCAAAAATTTGCATAAGTAACAAGAAGCTGAATGTTAATCCCCAAGACAATGGGGAAAATATCTCCAGGGCATGTCAGAGGTCTTCACAGCAGCCTCTCTCATCACAGGCCCAGAGGCCTATGAGGAAAAAATTGTTTCATGGGCAGGCCCAGGGTCCCTGTTCTGTGTGCAGCCTAGGGACTTGGTGTCCTGTGTCCCAGCCACTCCAGCCATGGCTGAAAGGGTCCAACATAGAGCTCAGGCTGTGGCTTCAGAGGTTTCAAGCTCCAAGCCTCAGCAGTTTCCACATGGTGTTGAGCCTGCAGGTGCACAGAAGTCAAGAATTGAGGTTTGGGAACCTCTGCCTAGATTTCAGAGGATGTATGGAAACACCTGGTTGCCCAGACAAAAGTTTGCTGAGGGGCAGGGCCCTCCTGGAGAACCTCTGCTAGGGCAGTGCAGAAGGGAAATGCAGAGTCAGAGCCCTCACACAGAGTCCCTACTGGGGCACTGACCAGTGGAGCTGTGAGAAGAGTGCCACTGTCCTCCAGAGCCCAGAATGGTAGATCCACCTACAGCTTGTACTATGCACCTGCAAAAGCTACAGACACTCAATGCCAGCCCATAAACAAAGTTGGGGGGGAGGCTGTCCCCTGCAAAGCCAAAGGGACAGAGCTGCCTATGAGCATGGAAACCCACCTCTTACATCAGCATGACCTGGATGTGAGACATGAAGTCAAAAGAGATCATTTTGGAGCTTTAATATTTGACTGCCCCACTGGATTTCGGACTTGCTTGGGGCCTGTAGCCCCTTTGTTTTGGCCAGTTCCTCCCATTTGGAAAGGCTGTATTTACCCAATGCCTGTATCTCCATTGTATGTAGGAAGTAACTAACTTGCTTTTGATTTGACAGGCTCGTAGGTGGAAGGGACTTTTGACTGTGGACTTTTGAGTTAATGCTGAAATGAGTTAAGACTTTGGAAGACTGTTGAGAAAGCATGATTGGTTTTGAAATGTGAGAACATTAGATTTGGGAGGGGCCAGGGTTGGAATGATATGGTTTGGATGTATTCCCACTCAGATCTCATCTTGAATTCCCACGTGTTGTGGGAGGACCCAGTGGGAGGTAATTGAATCATTGGGGCAAGTCTTTCCTGTGCTGTTCTTGTGATAGTGAGCAAGTCTCATGAGATCTGATGGTTTTAAAAAGGGGAGCTTCCCTGCACAAGCTCTCTTCTCTTGTCTGCCGCCACATAAGATGCACCTTTCACCTTCTGCCATGATTATGAGGCTTCCCTACCCACGTGGAATTCCACGTGGCATTCCAATAAACCTTCCCTTTGTAAATTACCCAGTCTCAGGTATGTCTTTATAAGCAGCATGAAAACAGACTAATACAGATGGGGACATTTGGAATATGCACATGTTGAAACACTGAGAGGAAGGAATTATGAAAGGGTAGGGCTAAAGTTCCTGAATAGAACTATAAAACATCATCGAAAAGAAATAAAAAAAACAAATAGCTCACAATTTCTTACCTTTTAGATATCACAATGTTTCAATAAACACTTTAAAGTTATAGTATTGTTTTTACTTTCATCTGAAACTTGTAAGCAAAATATTGGCCTCCCCATGTAAATAAATGCCCTTTTCATTTAGGAAGCAGATTTCCCTGCTAAATTAGAAATGAGCTTCATATATTTCCATCTCATAGACACTATCTACTGGTCACAGAGTCATTGAACTATAATTGAATTAAATTCTTGCCATAGGTTAGCTCCAAAATTAGCAACTACAACTCCATTCAACATCATCTAATAGACTTCAGAAGGGGACATCTACTGTGTAATGTCGTTGAGGTTTTGGATTTTTTTTTTTTTTTTTTTTAAGAGTCTCACTCTGTTGCCAGGCTGGAGTGCAGTGGCATGATCTCAGGTCACTGCAACCTCTGCCTCTCAGGTTCAAGCAATTCTCCTGCTAATGTTGAGGTTTAAAAAAAAAAAGGTCTTGAGTTTTCGGGATCTTACATGGAAGACACTATTATGATTTGGGTATTCAGAATCAGTGTCTCAGCTTATTTTTCTGACGGTGGACTACGATTAATTTCCTTAAAATATCTTTGTTAGCATACATGCAAACAAATTATATTGACTCATAACCCATTATTTTATTATTTAGTAGTAAAAGACTGAAAAATAGTGTTATCTAGGTAACTTAAACATAGAATCCTTATTTTGTGTACTTGTTAAGCTTTCTACCTCCTAATAATTTCTGCAGAGCTAATTGTGTTCCCTGAATACCTTAGCTCAACTGTGGTTGACTATCTCTGCAATTTAGTGGGTGTTTCTGTCTCCTGTGTTTTGCAGTACTATTTGGTATTTCTAGCATCTCCCAGGTGGGTACCTTCTTCAATGTAATTATCATCCAGCTTATCCTCCCTTCCAACATCATTTATGAAAATGTTAAATAAGACCAGCTATAATGCTGACATCCCTGAAGCACACTCCTTAACACCTTTTCTTAACTTGATGCATTGCCATTTATCATTACATTCCTTTAGCCAATTTAAGTCCCAGGAAGAATGTTAATATTGAATCCAATTTGTGCTAAATTTTAATTAAGATTTCCTGAGACATTTTAAGTGATTTAAGTATAATCAAAATTGATATCTCCTCTGTTATCCCCATCCTCTAATTTTCTAATTTTATCCATACACAAAACAGAATTAGTTTGTCTGGCTTGAATAGCTCTCTATAAATATATGCCATTCATTTTGACTGTTTCTGCAAATGTTTCTCCTTTGCCTTTAGGAATATGTCTGTCAGGCTTATACAAGTCGCAGAATCATGTCATAAAATGCCTTTCCTTCCAGCAACCACATCTGTCCACCCCCAAATAGCCAGTCTCAGGACTTAGTTGCATTAATGTCATTTCCTTTTTCATTCTCAATTATTTTTTGCTGCTATGTCTATGGACATTATCACTCTAAGCATGACATATAATAAAAAATAGAATATGCATAATATAACCCCTTCAGCACAGTACAGTGTATAAAGTACTTTGTTTACATTTATTGAGGATATTAAACATGAACTTTTGAATGGGAAATTAGTTAATATGATGTTTCTGAAATTGAATTCAAGTTTCAAGGTAAATGTGTATGTTTACATTTGATCAAGGAAGGTATACCAGCATCTTTACTGTATTTTCAAAGGAGTCTGCAAACTATAAAAACTACTATTTTTAGAAGTAATGTATTGAAAATATAAATATAAGTAAATAAAACATTTCTACAGGTAGGTTAATTTACTACAATTACATGTGTTTTCTTTATTCCACAGAAAACTTTTAATTATATTCCCTCATGTGTAAATTGAGACCACTTTCTTTCATTCTTCACTTTTTGTATGATGAATACAGAAAATACTATTGATGTATGTAAAATGCTTACTATAAGATTTCTGCTAGAATCCCTTTATATTCTTTTTCCCCTTTAATTTATATTTATCAGCAAGTCAAGGAGCCACTTTTAATATAATAAATCACTGTTGCTTTAATGTTGCTTGATGAAGTTAATCATTGTTATCTTTTCATATAATATCCCAAATAAAGTCTTTTAGATACCAGTTCCTTCAAAATGATTATAGATATATGTAAATTGGCTATACAGATGTTTACATGCTTAATTTCAAGGGCTCCGAATAGATTTTCTTTCCCCAAAGAAACATTTCTTGGGCTATGTTACCCTTGATATTCTACAATGGGAGATGCATTTGTTTGATTGTTGACACATTAATACTCTACGACTTATCAGTCCTTTATAAATCAGGGTGTGCAAGTTAATAACCTTTCCTAGAGCAATTGTAAACAAAAAGGACACAAAGATGAGAGTGTCTGGGAGACAGGGAGGAGAACATTATGGAAGGAAAAATGAGAGTAAAAGGAAGGTTGGGAGTAACAAAGGCCGACTATGCCTATTTCATTTTTTCCAGGTTCAGTCTGTTTTAATATGAGTTTATGTGTCAAGAATGCAAGGCAAGACAGGAAAAATAAATTTCCTATAGGGATATTAGATTTTCTGTTAGGGCTTTCCTCTTTTTCCCTTTATTAAATTAAAATAAAGATAAGCCTTCAAGATCCAAAGTTTATTTCTTAATCACTCTCACAAAAAACAAAATCACTCTTATTTTTGTGATTGCTTTAGTATTGTAACAGGACACAGTAGCCTCAGTTAAAAAAACAAAAAACAAAAAACAGTATATATGTCAAGGAAACTTTCCTGTGTTTTTTTCTTTGAAAGCAAGCTTCTTTTGTTGGGGGAAAAAACGACATGGTGGTGAAAAGTTGAGACCCAAGAGGATTTATGTTGTGATTTTCAATTCCAGCTCACTGCAGTCGACGCAGACGAAGGGTCAAATGGGGAGATCACATATGAAATCCTTGTTGGGGCTCAGGGAGACTTCATCATCAATAAAACAACAGGGCTTATCACCATCGCTCCAGGGGTGGAAATGATAGTCGGGCGGACTTACGCACTCACGGTCCAAGCAGCGGATAATGCTCCTCCTGCAGAGCGAAGGTAATTTATATTAGAACCAATGCAGTCTTTTCATCGGGCCCGTTTAACCCTGTAATTAAATTTAAGAAGCGCGGCAAGTATTCTTTTATCCTATAAACATCTAAATTAGATCAGAAAATCAGAGAGACCAGATTCTCAGGAACTGCATGCATATTCTGATTTGGTTAAATTTTGGGAAGAGGACAATATCAGAGGCATATTTCAAATTTATTATGGAAAAGTAAGGCTGCAGACAGAGAAAGGCTCTTTTCTTCAAAGAAATTAACAGATGTGTCAGTGGCATGTAATGTCTCAGGGTTTCAAAGTCACTTCTGAGTGTATAGGTAATTAAAATAGTTATGTAAAATAATACATGTATTTAAATATGTGTATACACACACAGACTCGCACACAGACACACACACACACACACACAGCAAGCTAAAAGATTTCCTGCTATTACAATTGCATCTTTCTAGTCTCCCACCTGAGAAATCCCTTTTGTTAATTTATTGTTTATTTCCAGATTTTCAGTATCATTCCAAGAAAATATGAATAAATATTAATATATTCCTTCACTTTGCTGGGGTTTTTTTCCATTCACAATGAATGTATCCTGGAGTCCTCTCCATGTAGATACTAGATAAATCCTTCAGATTATTTTTTTCACAGTTATGTAATATTCCTTAATAAGTATAAAACTATGGAAGAAGTCTATTATTGATAAACATATTCCTTAATAAGTATAAAACTGTAGAAGAAGTCTATTATTGATAAACTTTTCGATTTATCCTCTTTTATTGACAATGGAGAAATATTTAACACTCAACATGCATCAGTTTGAATATGTGCAAGTATATCAGTTTTTTATATTGGTATGTTAAGCCCAGATTACAGTTATTCTACGTTTTCTACTAGTGTTTATGTGGATTCATATTGTATATTTAAATCTTTATTGTATTTGAGATGTATCTTAGTACACAGTAGGAGGTATTAATGCAGCCATAGTTCTTTCCAGTCAAATACTCTGTGGTCCCCACACAATACATTGTGATATTCATCCAATGATGAACAAATTTGAGATGTTGCATTTATTATATCATATATTTTCTTATGTGTTTTGATTTTGATCTAAATGTTCTATTCAATTCTATTATTTATATTTTATAACCTATTACCACACAATTTTAATGATTAAGCTTACATAGTATGCTCTATCCTCTGGTGCTACTAACTTACCTCAATGCTGTTTTCCCTCCAAAATGTTCCCTCTCCTTCTGTTAAGTTTTCTCTTTGACTTTAAATAAGCTAGTTCAGTGTTTTTGTTGTTAACTGTGTTTTTATTAGGAACACAAGAGATTTATATATTAATTACTTAGGAATATATTATATATGTTTGATGTTGAATCTTTCTATCCAAGAACATTTTGCATTTGCATTTGTCCATGCATTTTTTTGTGTTTTTTAGCAGGCTTTTTGTTTTTCTTTTTATGTAAGTTCTGTACATTTCTTACTTGATCTATTTCTACATCTTTTGTTTTTATTGTAAATAGGCTTTTTTTCTTTTACATTTTTTCCCCCTAGCCCAGGTCTAACTCTGTCTCCCAGTCTAGAGTGTAGCGGCACAATCCCGGCTAATGGAAGCCTCAAACTCTGGGCTCATGCAATCTGCCCACCTCAGCCTCACTAGTAGTGGGGACTACAGGTTCAGGCCACCAATCCTAGCTAATTAAAAACAAATTTGTAGAATCAGAATTTTGCTATGTTGCCCAGGCTCGTCTCAAGCTCTTGGCCTCTACTGATCCTCCCACTTCAGCCTCCCAAAGTGCTGGGATTACTGGCATCAGCCACGACGCCTGGCCTCCATTTTCTTTCTTTACTTTCATTTCCTATTATACTTCCAATAAAAATGCTTGTCTCGTTTGTGACTTGAATGAGACTGCCTCAGTGTTTCCCCATTAGATTGGTCTATGGTTTTAAAAACTATTAATATGTTAAAAAAATACTCATCTATTTCTATTTTATTGACTTTTTAAAATAGTAATGGTGCTTTTCTCAGATCAAATAAATAGCTACCATATATGAGGACAGTAATGACTTTTCTTCTTGAGTTGATGATATAATGACTGATCTTACTATAGCTCCTATTTTGCATCCATGGCTTAGATGGATCTATTTTGCATCCATGGTGTAGATTCTATTAGGACATAATTTTTTTCTCTTGAAATAAGCTGATATTATATGCTTGCTGTTATTTTATTTAATAAAATTAGTCTGTACTTTTCTTTTTGAGAAATCCTATCAAGATTATGTATAGTTGTCATAATACTTCATAAAAGAAACAAATAAAAACACAAGAAATCCCCCAAAATAATTAATAACTATAATATCAGACATGAATGTATTATAAACATATATAAAACAAATAAATGAGACTGAATTTGGTTCTCTGGAAAGAAACAACAAAAATAAAGACATAATTAATTGGATAAAATACTATCTAACCTAATCAAGAAAAAAAGAACAAGTAAAACTGTATACAATAAAATCTAATGAAGAAACTACATATAAATAGAAAAAAAGTAGGATTCAGAGACAACTTTGCTTAAATGTATGCAAAATTTGAAAACAGAAATGGATGATTCTTCTAAAAGATACAGTTTACTAATATTAGTTCAAAAAAAAAAGGAAGTCTCAAGAATCTTACGAGATCAAACTTGTCAGATAACTCAATACTACACCAGGTGTAGGAAACTTGATGGACTGTAACTAAACTTTGCAGGGTGTGTGATCATCATTAATCACAGAGATACGGTTGGTGGAGTATTAGATTCTCATTTACATTTTTAAACTAGATTTCCTCCTCCTCAATAGTTTGTTTTCCTTTGAATCTCGTGTCAAAAAATAATTATAACGCCCATTACCCCTCCTTGCTGTCATCGACAGATGATAGGTCTCTTCCCAATAAATTTTCTTCTTTCTAACCTCATATCCTATTGTCATCTACATACTGGAAGTCACACTTGGAAGAGTTTACTTCCTACATGCCTGACATTCATTTCAACAGTACTCCTGTCAAACTTATTGGTGACTTTATATCCAATAAGAGGTTTAAGGCGTCTCCCATCTTGCAGTCACTCTGACCAAACACCCTTAGAGTCATCCTCAATGCCCCTCTTCCTCCCCAACTCCACACATAACCTGGAGCAACTCCTCTGTGTTCTACTCTAAAAATGTATTCAGAAAGCAACAACTGCTGCCACTTTGGTTATTAGCATTCCAGTCCAAGCCACTGCAATCTCTAGTCTAGAGTGTTGAAAACTTCTTCCAATTACAAGTCTTCCTGTGCTCTCTTCAATCTCTTCTCAACACAATAGCCTGGGTGATCCTGGTAACATGGAAAACATCTCAATCCATTACTCAAGCTTTCCAGTGCTTTCACACCTCACTCTGAGTAAAAGGCAAATCATTAAAATAAATTCAAAAGGGCTCAGTGAAATTTGTCAGCTATCACTACAGGTAGGACACTCCCTCATGTCAACAGTTTATACATTTCATCTCCTACTCAACTCTGCTTTTCTTAGTCCATTCCAGTTGTGGCACCAGTCTCCTCTCTATCTCTGAGGATCATAGCTACCTATATGCTTTTGAGCTTGATTTTCATCTTCTCTCAGCCTGGATGGATCTTTTCTCAGATTTCTCAATGGCCTCATTTCCTTCAGGTGTCTGTGATAGGAAAAGTTTCCTTTCAGCCCAACAAACCATTTATTACATACTACCATTTACTACATTCTGGAAAACAAAGATAACTACAGTACCATCATTTGAAAGCCCCCAAAATACAGTAAAGTATATAAAGAATATAAATTAAATTGAGTTTAGCATAGCAATTTTGAGATTAAGGTAAATTCTGGGCTTTCTGGGGTTATTGATGGGGAACTTACGATAATGAAGGAGTACCAAGAAGTCATCCCACAATAAGAGGATGAGGTTGACCAAATGAAAAAGAAGTATGTGACCCTATTTGCACAGCCTCAAAGGTCTGAAATAGCTTCTTGTTTATAGATAATTATTAGTCAGTGTTACTGGGGCATAAACTGATTCAAGGTGGGGCTGGAAAATTAAAAGGCCATGCCACAGAAAATTTAATTTTCTTTTATAAGAAACTTAGACTTATCTAGTCAATAGGAGGAATTCTTGGAAAGACTTTTAAATTAGAAAGTCAAGTGAGAAAACATGTTTTTGTAAAATCCATCTGATTGTCTCTGTGGGAGGCAGATTTTAGGGGAGCAGAGGCACAAGAGTCTACAGGAAATACTGCTAATGTTTTGAACTGGGTATGTTAGGAAGAATAGAGAAATAGATTTGTCAAAAATAAGATAAAATATTTCCCAGGGTTTTGCTTAAGGTGACGTCATGTTGATGTCAATAGGGGTGCACATGGCTTGGGTGAGGACATCAATTTAATTTTGGACACATTTAGTTGGATGTGGCCAAACTTAATATATCCAAAAAGCAAATATACACTTGGCCCTCCATATCCACGGCTTCCACATCAGTAGATTCAACTAAGTGCAACAATTGAAAATATTTGGGGAGAACATTACATCTGTACTGAACATGCGCAGACTTTTTTTGTCATTATTCTCTAAACTACAGTATAACAACTATTAGCATTAATATTTTATATGTATTACAAGTAATCTCGAGATGATTTAAAGTGTATGAGACAATATGCATAGATTATATACAAATACTGTCTCATTTTCTATCAGGGCCTTGATTATCTGCAGATTTTAGTATCCTTATGGGCTCTGGAACCAATCCCACATGGATGCTGAGGGAGGACTCTGTATGCCTGAACCTGATAAACAGCTAAGGGCTCCTTCTTAGAAGAAATATATAGAATACTTTTATACATTGAGTAGTTACAGAATCTACAATAAGAGCCAAGTAAGGTTTGAGTGCGTTTTAAATAATAGCTTCATCTGTGCTAGGTTATTCTGAAGAGGAATTAAAGATGATTGATAATACTTATTGAGCATACACTAGGACCAGATACCTTGCTAGCTCCTTTATATATATAATTTCTAATATTAACAATAGCATCATGACTTTTGCATAATTTAGTTTTGCACACCAGAAATCTGAGGCTGAAATAGGATAATTGACTTGGCTCAGCAGTCCCCTTTCCCACTTCCACTCCCCTAGTAAACAAGTAGTAGGACCATAACTTGAACTCAGAGTTGTTAGATTTAAAGCTTTTTCCTCCACTGTTTCATATCTATAATCTTTGTAGTTACTGTTGTGGAGGAAAACTATAATTGTTTAGTAGCAATGATAATAATGCTATTTATAAGAACAAAGTCACCTTTTGTTTTTTTATTTTGATTTTATTAAAGTCTTTTAATATTCAAGACTTTTAATTTATTAGTCTTGAATATTAAAATAAAACCAACCACAAGTTGGTATTATATATACATATTTTTCATTGAAGATTGTGTTGTGCTAAATAAATCTGGTCTGATCTATATGTGGCCAATATATTACATTTGAAGTGTTTTAAATCACTTTATTGATTATTTAATGAATGAGATCTTATATTCCTCTTTTTGCTCAGTTTCTATTTGTAAGACATATCATTGATTTTCCTGGATAATATATTGTCTATAATTATCAATACAATAAATGTTTTTTACTTAAGTAAAATTGTATTCCACGCCAGAAAACAAAGTGCCATCTTCAGATTCTGAGTATACACGTCTTTTCTGTGACATCAGAAATTTAGTTGACCTAGCTTCACATTTATTTTCATTAAATAATGTCTTGGATACTAAAAACTCACCTTAGAATGTTTGGTGAAATATCAAGTGGGACCTGCAGAGAATAAAATCCATATACTTCCATTCTACCTGCTGAGATAATGTCATGTTCACTGTAGGATAATCATATTTGCTATTTTCTGGAGAGGAGTTAATCCTTCAAATTGAATTGATGAATGAACTGAAAAGTTATGAGGCTTTGCTTTCAGACTTCTTTTATAAGGAAGATTATATTTAAAGATTATGAACAAATATATATATTATATATTTGTATATATACACATTATATATACACTATATATATACATTATATATATATACACTATATATATACATTATATATATATACACTATATATATACATTATATATATATACACTATATATATACACTATATATATATGTATACACACACTATATATATAGTGATTTTTTTTACAGATCGACCCAGCCAGCAACCATGGCATGTAAGCTAACTAAATAATAACATCAAAAAATGACAGCAGGCTTCAGAATTTAGACAGTTTTCTATATTATTATTTTAAAATTGACAGCTTTCATCCATAAATGTAGTAATATTGACTGAAAATAAGTCCAATATGAATGAAATACGTATGTCTGTGTTATTCTAATTTAGTAAACCAGCTAAAGATTCAGAGAGTGAGAGAAGGAATAGTACATAGTTTAGTGTTTTGTTTTACTTTTTTTTGAGACTTTGATAAGCATACAGAAGAAATAAAAACCAAAAGCTTTTAAAAAACACTTAAGTTATTTTGGGATATTCTTTAGTCGTGTATATTGGTTAACTTATACTTACGTTATCCAATTAAATTAAGTAAATATTTACTTCATCCTAACATGAATAAAGCACTACTGTTTGATAATTAGATAATAAGAGACACTCTCTCTCCCCAAATAGCTTCTAATAAAATTACGATAAAAATGACTGATGCATGGGCTAACATACGTTTTAAATTCCCATTCTTTTCATAAAATGCAAGGCTATGTTTAATTAATATGAGATGAAATAATTTACTTTGAAATACAATTATTTTCCCATTGTGATTATACATTCTTTTTAAAATACAATTTTCTCTTTAAAAGATCATTTTACTAGTGACAAATGTACATGCTAAGTTTATCATTAGTAAAAAATGATGAGGCTATTTATTTATTCATTTATTTTTATAAAAATTGTCTAAGTTCCCACAAATATTAGTCTCTTGGGGAGGTACTAGAAATATAAAACAAGTAAAATGAGATCTCTGCCCACATGGGATTCAGATGCAGGCACAGGTAAATCTAGACAGATAGCAGTAGATAAATACAAGTGCAGTTTTACCTGGGCAAGAATGATAATGGAATATCCCAGCAGAGGAAACAAGAAGATCAAAAGAAACAAAACAAAGTAGTGTGTTAAAGAACTGTGAATGACTTGGCACTTTTGGTTATAATCACTAATCTGCTTAAACTTTACCAGCTGAGCCTCATTGTCAAGATGAAGTTTATATCAACAGATATAGCCCATGAGTCCCACCTCTGTACCTTAACTCTTACTACTGCTTTACTTACACCCTTCTCTTTAGTTCCACAAAACATACATTTCTTTTCTTTAATCTTCTGTAAATTGACATGTGAGTTTTCCTCTGTCTATTAATGTTCTGTGGTATTTATATATAAATACATCTTCTATCTTAAAACTCTGCCCTGTAACTTCTCCAGAAAAGTTTTCTCTGTCCTCCTATATTGGTTTTCAATGTGAAGTTTTTGCTCTTGTAGATTTCTATATGTATTTCAAAAATAATAGAATACAATCTGTGAACATCAAACTGTAAACATAGCTTTTCTAGCACAATATTGGTAGAAGACAAAGGAAAACAAAAACAGTAATTAATCTGTCTGAAATCTACCAGAAAAAGCAATATAAATATCTGTAACCTTCATCTTAGAAATAAGCTAGAAATGCAGAATTACAAATAGACTCCTTGTAGCACATATTGACATATATAATAGAAAATAATAATAAGATAATACAATCCTCTATAAGCTAGCAACATTATCTCATTACTACTAATTACTATTGTCATATGAAAAAGTTGTCTTTTTATAATTATATCATTCCCAAACTTAAAGTATCTTAAGTCTATTTTCCAACCCTCTTCTTTATTCATATTTTATGTTATTCTTACAATAAGTGTTATAGATGAAGTTTGATTCACAGTATTAATAATTTAAAATTGTGACTTCATAGTCTGAACCTCAGACTTGAAATAATTTATGGCTTCCTGTAAGGTAACATCCTTTATTACAAACCAAAAATGTTTTATATTCACACATAGATAAGTAAAAATTCTCCAGTTTATTTTACATATTTGTTCTTGTAGGACGTAGGGAGAAATGGAAAGCAGATTTTGAATTCAGAAGCCTTGTATTTTAGTTTATCTGCTGTTGCTAATTAATGTTATAATCTTGATTCAGTCAGCAAATCTTTTCCATTTTTAAAATCCTCTTTTGTAAAATGAGACTTAAATTACATTGTTTTAAGGATCTTTTTCAATTATAAGATTATTACGAAAACACCAAGGTTTCGGTCTAGGTCCTGCTGCTAACCATGCAGAAAGCCAATCACTGACACAGCAATTATAGGCAAGGAAGAAGGCTTTAATTGGGTGCTGCCGCTGAGGCGATGGGAGATCAGTCTCAAGTCCATCCTCCCGACCAACTAAAATTATGGGAATATATAGCAGGGAAAAAAATGTAACAATGTGTAAAAAAACAAGAACTAGGGAGGGGCAAGAAAGCAATCATGATGAATGAGGGGTCTAGCATCTCATTATCTGAATATGGTGATCTGGTGCGTTTCATTTCTTTAATACTTTTTTGAGAGGCTGCAAGTGGTTTTCTGAGGAAGGAACTCACATAAAACAGAAAACAATTCACAAAAGTTTCAAGCTTTAAGACCAGAAGGGTCAATTTCTATGTTTATCGAAAAAGTGATCTATGGGACTGTTTGGTCGGTTTCAGTCCCCCCTTTCTATTTATCAATTTTCAATCATGGGGAAACTGGTTGTCAGTCTTTCTGGCTGCTTAATACTGAGGAGGGGCATCGTGGGCAGCGTCATACTACAGGTGATTTCACGGCCACCCAGAAATCAAAGGCTAATCTAATAGTATCATTTTCTTCTGAAACACAGCATTTTCTCTTCAGCCCCCCAACTTCCAACAAAGGCAAGTCATAGCAGGACAAATCTACTTGCAAAAGAAGCTTCAGGCCCATATACTTAGCCTGATTAACCACCCAAAGTGCAACAAGGTTCATTGTTTATATAGGACCTACACTGGCTTTTCTGGAACCTTTCCCAAGCCCATTTCAGTTCAAAGCCCTAAGAAAATAACCACTTCCTCCAATTGTGTCCCATTATACAAGAAAACAAGTTGTCATTAAATGTATGCAAACTAACACACATGAATTAAGAATATAATTCCGGAGAAAATAGGCAGAGAAAAAATATGCCTCAAGTTCTGTTTACAAAAGTATACTCTACTTAATATACTTAAAGCATAACTTAAAGCTTATAAGTAGATCTAAAAAATTATCCAGACTCTGAAAAACAAAACAAAAAAATCAGCAATATTCCAAAGATAAAAGCCACAAAAATTATTTCAGTCCTTCATTAGTTTAGTCCATGCAATCAATTATTGCTCTGCTTCATGTTGGGTTAACAATCTTTATGAACACATCAGCCTTTCAATTAGTGCCCTGGAATTTTCCTCTCTAACCTAATGGCACAATCTCCAAAGTTATCAGTAACCTGCATTGAAAAGTTCTTTTCACGAACACCAAAGAAGCAATCCCTAGACTGTAGCTGATTATAAGTCACTTTTTGAGAAGGATCAAAGCAAAACAATAATTGTAGATGACAAAAGTCTTAAGAGAGTCATAGTTAAAGGCACAGTAGATAAAGAAATTTGGTTATTTCTGTGGCATACAACAATGTAACATAATAATCATAATTATTACTGACAACTTATATTAAGACATATCAGAATTACAGGAATCTCATATAATCCTCAAACACATTTTAACAACCCATCCATATAAATATCACCCAAAGGAAACTTAGCACCACCTCAGATTTGACAATATCTCCTGCATAATTCTAACATAACAACTAAGCCTAATAAGCCTTACATGTCTCTCTTGAACTTCAGGGCAACTAATATCCAAAAAGGTTGGTTTGAGTTCACAAAGACTGAATTTAGAACTTGAAATTTTGCTGTTGGAAATTCTGTCGAGTATCAAAGGTTTAAGACACTCGATATCACAAAATAGGATCACAGGTCACTATAAAATATTCATTTATTTAGCCAAAATAATAAAACAAAAACATTTACCTTTTGATAGAGAGGAGACTCTGTTTCTTAAGCAATAAGACCTAATACTTAAGATAGCATGAGGCCAACTTATTCTGTCTCTCCCCTCTCCTTTTTTTCCCTGCAGTTTCCTCTTACATGAAATTTTTGTTCAAAAGAGAAAACAAAATTGTATCTTTGTATGGTATATTATTAATGTTAAATCTAATTTTAATAAAACCTTATAAACAAATCTATCTAATTTTAATCAGTTTGACAAAGTTCTTATAGCCTTTTACGATTATCTATTAAAGAGCAGATCAATGCACCAAGAAAACCCTGTTATTCTGACACATAGGCCCAGACACTGACCTTGCATCATTGTGCTTTTGACATTAACGTTTAATTTACAGAAACTCTGAACTGAGTTTGTCCCTCAAAATTGTCCCTCACCATCTCACACACCTACAGTTTCCACAATAGTTCCTGGGTCTAGAGGGATTGAATAGTTTTAATTTCTGGCCCTGTGTCTCATGAAAGCAGTTCATTTTGATTGTCACCTTCTCCTGTGTCTGAAGATGAGGCTTTGACTGGTATCAATGCTCAAAATTTAACAGAAGTCAGTGCTTTCTTCAGACTGAGGATTCAAAGACCTGTAACTTAACAGCACAAGGATTAGTTAATAGGATATTTATACTACAGAAAGCCTATTATTCTAAAATGTCACAAATTAAAACACAGTGGCTTGGAGCTTAGCAGATACTACTTATAGCACTTCTGACCACGGTGTTAAAGTAGTTAGGTTACTCATTCCATATGTCTAATTGCTAGCATTTTAGTGACAGAACTGTGACCAAAAGCATCAAAGTTTTGATAGGTCCTTTGACAAACTTTTGAAAGCAAGACAACTAATGTTGTTTTTTTTTCCATTATTGAAAAATGGCAAATGCAAATATCAGCTTTGGAAATTCAGAATAAGGATAAGCAATCTCATTTCACTTAAATACTATACAACAAAGCAAGGACAAAGTGAAAACCACATAATAATCTCTCTTCAGCTACTTAAAAGAGCATCATCACACATTTCTAAGATTTACTTCTAGATACAGTACTTACAACTGATTAAGTAACTTTCACACCAAACTCTTCAAACCAGTGCAACACTTGTGCATATTTTGTTTTCAAGTACCACATGAATGCCCATCAGAGATAAATGGATTTGGATCAAAAATTACAACAAAGTGTCACAATTTTTAAAGCAATTACTACCTAATTCAATTGAGTGTCACTTAATGTTAATAGTGGTAAACACAATGAAAGTAGTTTCAGAGAAATCCCAATCAATAAAATTTTTCTTAAAAAAACAGCCCAGTCTTTCCTGAACATTAAAACTTTTAACCCATATCACAGTTTTTCTTCACTAAAGGAAAGGATCTGAACCAACTGAAATTATTGATTGAATTGAATTACATTGGAAATAAACATCATTTAAACACTTCTATTCTCATCTACTTTTCCAAATTACAAAATATATAATGTACTATTTGTGTTTAGAACTCATAAAAATAAGTCTTTTATAAGATTTTTGCCAAGAACCTTAAAATTATCATAGCTATCAATATACTCAGAGGTAAGAAAAACCAATCAAATTTAAATGGCTGCTGTCCTTCATCAATGTTTTGAAGCTTGACAAAGGTAGTTTAGGAACTTTCAATAAACAGAACAAATGGTGAATTGTTGGAAATACATAGAAAACAAAATGACTATTCATAGAACCAAATAAAAGCTTTCCATTAGAAACTAAAAAGCATCAATAGTTTTATATATTATATATATGTATACAAATATATATACATATATGTATACCTATGTGTATATGTATACATATAAATATGTGTATGTGTATATATTTGTATATTTAAGTAGAACAAATAGCAAATAAATGAAAATTAGAAGCAAAAATAGGTCAGGCATGGTGGCTCATGCCTGTAATCCCAACAGTTGGGGAGGCAGAGGAGAGGGGATCACGAGTTCAGGAGATTGAGACTATCATGGCCAACATGGTGAAACTCAATCTCTACTAAAATACAAAAAATTAGCCAGGTGTTGTGGCACATGCCTGTAGTCCCAGCTGAGGACTGAGGCTGAGGCAGGGGAATTGCTTGAACCTGGGAGGTGGAGGTTGCAGTGAGCCAAGATTGTGCCACTGTACTCCAGCCTGGTGACAACGGAGAGTGGATCACGAGGTCAGGAGATTGAGACCATCATGACCAACATGGTGAAGCCCCATCTCTACTAAAATACAAAAAATTAGCCAGGTGAGGTGGCAGCACCTGTAGTCCCAGCTGAGGACTGAGGCTGAGGAAGGGGAATCACTTGAACCCGGGAGGCAGGGGTTGCAGTGAGCTGAGATCACTCCACTGCACTCCATCCTGGCAACAGAGCAAGACCCTGTCTCAAGAAAAAAAAAAAAGCAGAAATAAACAGTAGTCCAACCCTCAATTTATCTTCTACTCAATTAACTTTGGCTTTACAGTGTTACCCAGAGCCAAAAAAAATTAACCTGATGGATATTTTATTCCTGATTCAGTTTTTTGATATTTACTGTCTTTAAGTCCAGCAGTACCACTATACATTTTCTGTAACTAAGAAATTCACTTTAGGTATGTGATGCAGAATAGCAAATATACTATGAAATTTGGCTCCATGTTACATCCAGCTTTGGGCTTAACTATATTTAAAAAATTGCCAAACTGCTAATGTATTTCTTTACAATAATTTATATTTTACATTCATTAAGATATGAGCTTTAACTATGAACAATGCTAATTAGCCAAAGCATTCCTATTTTATCAAGTTTTAAAGGATATTTTATTATCTAAGCTTTTTCAACTTTGTATTTTCTTTGTACAGGCATGAAGATAGACACACAGAGAAACAGGAAAAATGGCATATGACTTACACAGACCATCCATGACATGCTTGGACTTTTGTTTTGTCTTAGATTTTCTTTCTGTTCTTTTTTTAATAACCAGTTATTTTAATTTTGGACAAACATTCACCATACAAAATCTTTTCTTATAAAAATTGTTATTTTTTTCATTATCACCTTCCTAAAATATATTTTCGTATCTATAACTTTTTACACATCTCTTTCTTCTACTTATTGGTTTTCTTCTGCCTTGTTTCATAACTAACCATTTCAAGCCCATAATTTTAATTAGCCTTTAGATAACTTCTGAACTAGACAAACAGATTCGTTTTCTCAATAAAAACACATCTTCTTTAGAATTCTTAGTAGCCTTAAATTTTAGTGAACAAAACTTTAGTGAACATCTGAGAAGCAAGAAATTCTGAGCTGACTATCAGATATTAGCATTTTACAGATGAGAACCATTCCACAATTTTTAGAAATATGTTTCCCCATAACTTTTTCTTAATTGGAAATGACCCAGACACCCAATGAGCACCAAAAACAATTTAAAAATTTTATATTACACAAAAAGTGTACCTACAACATTTATTCAATTTACAAGTACTTGATTATTTCATTTTAATAGTTTATCCAGATTTCTTCTGAAAACTGAAATATTAGACACCATCATTTAAAGTTAGCTTTTTCCTTGTTCATTACTTTTTTTTTTAATAGCTGATGAATGTCAGGTCCTCAACTAAATCTTAAAATTAAAGATATGGGTATTTTTGCCATTAACTCACAAGAATCAACTAACAACATTACATTAGTCTCATTTGTCAAAGAAGGTACACAAACCAAGATCATTTTATGTTAGCTGGGTTTATAGTTCTATAACCTTCTATGCCAAACCATGACACCTCAATCATATCTAGCAGAGACATATATAAAACTCAGCAAAAATGTATGCTGACAATTCTAAAGGCATTTTTATTTTTATTTTATCAAAAATGTTAAAGCCAGCTTGCTTATTGTGGTTGACTTAACTCATTTGAACTTGAAAAATACTTTGGGCTTACTTATGTGTATTCTTTTATTTATAAACCAATTTGGTAGACAAAAAAAAACGTAATACATGAACATACATAAACCATTAAGACGCATATAAACACACATAAAGATCCAATCTATTTTACCTCAAAATTATAGCCATGATATAGCAATAGAAACTCACTGGTTTACATAGCCACACTTTCTTGACCTCAGTAGGTAATCCATTGAAGGCTGTGAATCAAAATTTTGGGTAGAATAGTTTTCATGGCAATTTGCTTTTTAAAGGCTAAACCTCCCCAGACTCCAAAGAACACTGGAACCAAACAGCATCACAAGAGAACATCACATACTGACCAGGCCTGACCATGGTTAGAGCAGTAGCACAAAAGTCTGGATACATGGAACTCTGTCATGCTTTCCCATTCAATAGCAAACTCCAGATTCCAAAGAATATTGGAGCCAAACAGTGTTTCAGAAAATATTAGCTTACTGAATTCTACTTTGCTATGACTATATCAAACACACACAATCGCCAACACAATCCTACTGCTGAAACAATAAACGAGCCCTAAGAGCATCCAAACTGAAACAGTCGGGGTGCTTCTTCTTTCTACTGGTTGGGCTTGACCAACCCACAAAGAAAAATTCCTTAGGAATTTCTCAAATTGAGAGGAGCCAATCCCACTGTCTAGTCCCACAAAAGATACACACTTGCTCACACACACACACACCTCACAATTACAAACAAGCCCCCAAGAGTGTTCATACTGAAACCCCCAAAAAGTGTCCATACTAACACAGGATGCTTCCCACTTTCAGTCATTTGGGCTTGTTCAACTGACAAATAAAAATTTCTTTAAAAAATTCTCAAACTGAGAGGAGGGGATCATGCTGTCCAGGCCCACAAAGAACCTGACACTCACCTATCCGGGTGCAGATGTCAAATTTCAAATGCTGTTCTGACTAGACAATCAGGAATGTAGTTGGGGGTAGCTGCTGTGGGGCCAGAAAAAAACCAAAACACCTCCAGTGAAAATTGGGTGAGCAACTGCTTAGGAGGCCTTCTAAGACTCTTGGCTCAAGGCAGCCAAGACACAAGCAATGTGTTCTTGGTCAGGTAACGAAAATCTGTCACAGGAACACCAGGGGTTCAGTTTAGATTCTGCAGCTGGTCATACAAAAAGCCAATCACTGAACAACAATTGTCAAAGAAGAAGATTTTAATCTGGTGCTGCAGCTAAGGAAATTGGTGACAATCTCAAATCCAACTCACTGACTGACTACAGTTAGTGTTTACATAGCAGGGAAGAAATGTAACAATATGTAAGAAAACAGGAACTAGGGAGGGGCTAGGAAGCAATCATAATGAATGACGGGTCTGGCATCTCATCGGATGTGGTGATCTGGTGAGTTTCAGTTCTTTGATACCTTTTTTGGGAGGCCTGAAGGTTGTTTCCTGAGGAAGGAGCTCAGATAAAACAAATGTTAAGTTTCAAGCTTTAAGACCAGAAGGGTCAATTTCTATGTTTATCAAAAAAAAGTATATATGTATTTATATTTATGGAACTATTGGGTAGGTTTCAAGAGTATATAAGAAATATATTACCTCTTTTGTGCTACTTTGACCTTTATTACCAGGTGAAATATAATAAAGCTTTATGAGATTCGTTTTTAGAAATGGAGATTTATCTGCATCATACTGGCTATATTACAAAAATAAAATTTTTCTTATATAGATGCTCAGTTTTATGCATTTAGCGATAAAATATGAATACAAAATGCTTGCGTAAAGTGTTATTTATATAGTGACTGCCCTATTTTATTAAGTGCTTAAATGATGCTGTTGAAATACTACTATTTATTACAGCATAAATACTATTATTTTATTGTTAATACTATGGGTATTTAATTTTAGAAAAGCTAACTCTGACACTGTGCTGACATCAGGGATAAAAAGGAGATAGCATTTTAAAAGGCAGTAACCCTCAAGAAGCCTGGTGGTTATTTAAACACATTATAGGGACATGCCAGGATGTTGAAGATGAAAAATACAAGACCTTAATATATGATCTCCTCCAAATAACTAACATTCAAGACCAAGGGGGTGGGGGAACACAATTAGCAATTCTAGCTTTTGAATTATTGTGGAAAGGAACAGAGGAAGCAAAGGAGTAAGGACGGATCAAGGAGACGGTCATGTTGGGCTAAAATTTGTCTCTGTGTTTTGTCTGAGACTAGAGTCCTCTTTGTTTCAGCATTTTAAAGTTTTCGACTCTGTGACAAGTATCCAAGTAACTCATACGAGTTTAAGGTCCTTATTGTAGCATTGTCTCACTTTAACCCTCTACAATGGGAAGATAATGAAAGGGAAAGGAATAAAGAAATACAAAAAGTATAATAAGTGTAGTTTAACTATACTTTCACAAGCTTTAAGACACTGATATTCTTGTAAAACCTTTATAAAGTATTCTTGACCAGTAAACTGAAGATCTAAAGAATATCGAAGCAGAAAGGGCCTAGCTTTTGAAAGAAAGCTTCGAATCTGCAGTACAGATATGTTCCAGGTCAAAAAAAAAAAAATGTTAAACAGTGAGGAAGTCTCTTGGATCCAGGGTTATTGAAGACGTTAAGTGACTTTGTAGAGTTTTTCTCCTGAGGTAATTTAAAAAAAACAGGTGAGTCTACATATTGTACTTTTCATGAGATTCTGAAGCAGTGGTCTTCAAAGTCTAGTTTCTATAAGTAGAACTTTGGAAATTTGTGAAAATTGTAGATTCTTGTATCCTACCCTAAAGATTATGATACAACATGCTCAAATTCTAACACCAACATACCCCATGCTCAGGAGGGGTGAAGGAGTATCAAGCCTTTGTAGGAATTTAGCCAAGTGAAAGGATTCAATTAAAATATCTACAGTATTATAAAGGATGTAGCTAAGGAAAATGCAAGATCGTTTGCACTATTCATAGAGTGGAATAAGAAACCTTAAGCCTTATTTTGAGTAATTTATTAAAATAAGTTATAAAAGTATGTTTCATATATATGTATACATGTACTTACATATACAAATATATAAACTTATTTCATCTTTATGCTGACCTTAGATGTTATTATTATTCCCACTTATTATGTGGAAATAATGAAGCTGAAAGAAATAATTTGCTCTAGATCATTGAGGGCAGCGTCAAAATTCTAACTCAGGAATATCTGGTTACAAATTCTGTGTTCAACATCACTCACCTACTTTTATTACCAATAACGTTGTAGGACTTGTTATGCATAGAGAATGTGCTATCAGAGAAAAGAAGGAGATTCATAAAATGTTTTAAAAACTTGATCAACAACAGACCCTAAAAGAAGCCAAGATCTTCAAGGGTAATATCAGGGAAAATGTTTTACATCTTGGGGCTGCTTCTGGAGTCAGATCACCACCTGGAAGGATGTTAGGTCTACCTCAGAATGACGATTCTTTTGTTCTCACAACACGGAAGTGGGAATCTTTGCAGTATACAATACATTTTGTAACTTCCCATTGTTTCATGTTTACATTAATAATTATAAGTATATAAGCAACATTTCATCATCAGTTTGAACCCATTTAAGAAATATAATCTGATTAACTGTATTGGCAAATTTTGATACTAAATAGATAAAATCAGAGGCAGAAATGAATACAGATATTTTAACTATGAAAGTTTAAAATATTTTAATTTAAAGTGAGATTACTTTAGAACAATATCATGATAAATGTAAGCATGAAATTTTTTTTTTTTTTTGAGACAGAGTCTCGCCCTGTCACCCAGGCTGGAGTGCAATGGCACGATCTCGGGTCACTACAACCTCCGTCTCCCGGGTTCAAGCAATTCTCCCTTCTGCCTCAGACTCCTGAGTAGCTGGGATTACAGGCCACCATGCCTGGCTAATTTTTGTGTTTTTTAGTCGAGATGGGGTTTCTCCATGTTGGTCATGCTGGTCTTGAACTCCTGACCTTGTGATCGCTCACCTTGGCCTCCAAAAGTGCTAAGATTACAGGCATGAGCCACCGCACCCAACCATGAAATTTTTAAAAGTCACTGTAGCTTTTATGCTTACTATTCTATTGGTATCTATCTACTGATGATATGCTCAGAAACAACTTGAATTTAGGTATATTATAAAGTGACAAGCTATAAAACGAAATTTTAGTGCCTATGATCTGAATTTCTTTTTTTTTTTTTTCTTTTTTTGAGACGGAGTCTTGCTCTGTTGCCCAGGCTGGAGTGCAGTGGCGCAATCTTGGCTCACTGCAAGCTCGGCCTCCTGGGTTCACACCATTCTCCTGCCTCAGCCTCCCAAGTAGCTGGGACCCCAGGCGCCCGCAACCACGCCAAGCTAATTTTTTGTATTTTTAGTAGAGACCGGCTTTCACCATGTTAGCCAGGATGGTCTCGATCTCCTGACCGCATGATCCACCTGCCTCGGCCTCCCAAAGTGCTGGGATTACAGGTGTGAGCCACCGTGCCCAGCCTGAATTTCTTTCAAAAGGTTTTGAAAAGTAGAATGTTGTAGTTAATAAACTCAGACAAATATTTTTGGTGACCATGTCTTTTAATTGAAGCATCTTATAAAGAGTTTGGGACTACTTTAAGGAGATTCTAGGCCAGGTGTGGTGCTCATACCTGTTATCCCAGCACTTTGGGAGGTTGAGGAGGGTGGATCACCTGAGGTCAGGAGTTCGAGACCAGCCTGGCCAACATGGCACAACCCATCTCCACTGAAAATACAAAAATTAGCCAGATATTTTGACACAGGCCTGTAATCCCAGCTACTTGGGAGGCTGAGGCAGGAGAATCACTTGAACCCGGGAGGTGGGGGTTGCAATGAGCAAAGATCATGCCACTGCACTCCAGCCTGGGCTGGAGAGCAACTCTCCGTCTCAAATAAATAAATAAATAAATAAATAAAGATTCTCATCCCCAAATAGAAATTATAACAAATGTGTTTTGAACTAAATCATGACTTTGTTAAATTCAAAGCATACATCTTAGGCAGTGGTGGTATGTTTGTACAAAATGTTATATGTATGTGTGTGTGTATATGTGTGTGTATATATGTGTATATATGTGTGTGTGTGTGTGTGTATGTATACATATATATGTTTTTTCACGATAGAGGGCTAACCTTATGTATTTTCAGATCTCATTGATATATTTCAGCTAATGTTTCCACCTTACAAACCTTGACTAACATGCTTCTTCAGTTTTTGTTTTATAAAACAAATTCAAAGTTCAGAGATATCAAAGAAGTTGACTATGTCAATGCTAATTTTTTTTCCTTGTAATGATAAGGTATCTTGTCCTTCAAGAAAAGCTCCTGTCATTATAAGGGCTTTATTAAATCTAATTCCTAGCTTATCATATATTGCTTTTTAGAGAAGATTTTAAAACGTATTTAGTTTTGTTTGCAACTATTTTACGTAGGATTCTTTATGATCCTGACTCCTCACATGCACTTACATTAAGCCATTGATGTCAGCAACAGAACTGATAAAACGCAGCCCATAATTTGTTTTGTGAGTTATTGTAATCAATACTCCCTCTGCTGGTTTAACAGCAAAAAAGCCCCAAGGACAGCTTTTATTACCAGATGTTTATAGAATGATTTTGCTATTAGAGAAGCATTAAAAACAAAGTCAGAAGTCAAGGCAAGTTAATTTATTAGCTTTATTTGTATAGCTATTCCATTTTAATTCATACTATTAATCTAAGTAGGAAAAACAGATACTGGAGTCAATTACTTTTACTAAGATAATTTCATAAAACCATTATACTTTGGTGGTAGTTTTTTCTATCCTTTCATTTTGATTGTATTATTTTTCATAAAATTTGGAAATTTTTTCTCCTGTAAACCCAACAACTGAATAAACAATGCAGTCTAACATTAAATGTGATGCAGATTCGTAACCATCTTCTTTTCCTCTCTTTCTCTGCAGGAACTCCATCTGCACTGTGTATATTGAAGTGCTTCCACCAAATAATCAAAGCCCTCCTCGCTTCCCACAGCTGATGTATAGCCTTGAAATTAGTGAAGCCATGAGGGTTGGTGCTGTTTTATTAAATCTACAGGTATGTTCCTTGGTGTGTGTGTGTGTGTGTGTGTATAAATTCTAAAGTGACAAGCTTGGCATTTAATGAGTTTATATTTGTGTATGGAGGGAGAAACCTCACATGCTTGCCTCCACTCTAGTGAATGAAAATTCCATCTGGAAAGGAAAGCAAGGGTAATATGGATGGAGGGTTTCCACAGCTAATCTATTCTATTGATCGCCACAATTGAAGAACTAACGTTTGGCAGGCAGGGATTAGCTGCAATCATTACAGGAGAGAATGAAGGGATTGGAAACACATACTTGAATATTTTATACTTTGGATCCAAAGAGTCTGCAGCTGACTATTATTTTCTGTCTTGTATGCCTTTTGTCCAGCTGGATTTATTTTTGATGCAGTCTTGTGTAGGGGAATTAACTTTGTACTCAAAGGCTGATGGTAGGCATTCTAATTCTGAGACAAACCCCACTTCATTTTATGGCCATAGGCAAATCTTGTAATTGCTGTGGTTTTTATTCCTTTAGAAGAAGGGGGTAGTTTTAGCTGATATTTTTATTTGTAGCTAGAGATTCATGAGCATATGTGTTACTTGCAAGATGATAGCTTGGTGTTCACTGTTTATATATTTCTGACCAAAGTATCTTTGGCCAGGAAAAGCTCTATCTTTGACTGAATATGCAGCTTCAAGTTGGGCTAAATACGGTGTTGATATATTTTCACTTTGCTATGCCAATCATAAGAATCATAAGATGACGTACTATTTTCTATATGAATGTTCAGAGAACAGAGTTTATCTTCTGGTGTTATGTGGTAATTGCAGAAGTTGCTGATATGAGAATTCATGAAGCTGGCCTTAAAGCCTAGGGGAGATTTTAACATGACTAACCCAGGAAAATCCCAGCATCAATCTTTACCATCAGCTGACGTGACATAAGGCACAGCTACATCTCGCTTAAATCCCATTCGAATATTAACACCCTGTCACTTAAATTCGGATGATATAAAAGTGAAGATTTCATAGAATGTTTGTATTGAAAATGATGCAAAAATAACACATCAATCTTATTTTTGAGATGTGGAAAGCTAACCCCATAGAAAGTAACTGCTGCTTAAAATCAGTTGATTGAGTTTTCATCACTTCTAAAACAGGGCTATTTCTGTTATATCCTACTGATTACTGATAGCTGCTGAAATTTTCTTGGCATTACCAAGTACTACTTTGTGTCTCTACTCTAATATTTATTCTGTTGCTTTTCTCCAGGTACTTAGAGAAAGTTTGCTTTAATTGATCATTTAATATTGAAACAAAATTATATGAAGGTAGAGATATTAGTAATATGGAAATTTGGAGGATTTTCATGAAATAATTAAAAGAAAGGGAATAAAACCTACAGTCTCTTTAGGAGGAAAAAAAAGTCAAAGTATTGTAATGATAAAGAATAGAAAAAATCAAATATTAAGATAGTTCATTTAATGGAGTAATAAGATCTTTGTCTTTACATTCATGGGAACTCATTTATTGAAGCAAGAAAAAAATAAGAGAAAGAAAAGGAAAACAAAATAAATTTTACATGTGTAAGATTCAGGTCAAGAAATTATACATTTTATATTTAAATATTTGTCAAGTATGTGCCTTTATGTAATTTAACTTTCTATGAAGTAAGACATAATTTTACTTGTAAAGTGGCTCAGGTTTCATTTTAATAAAATCCAGGAAGATCTAGGAAACATATTATAGTTCAATAATTCTACCTGTGAGTTAAAGATGAAAAGAAGTTGGCCTTTTTCATATTTCAAATTTCTCTGGTACAAAGGCTGAAAAAATACTTGAAATGACATTTCTATTCACCCTTTGTGCTTCTGGTAGAAGGAAAAGAAAGGATGCCAACTGTAGTGGCAGTCTCTATTAGAAAGAACAAGGGTAATACCATGAAGGTACTTTTCATAGGCCACTAACCACCCACTTTTGTTCATGATCAACTGAGACTACATTTAAACTAGTGACCTAAAAGTTGAAAAGCTCCCGTCAAATTACTCTTCAAAAGTCTTCTAATAACAAGATGCATTGGAGGTACCCTGGCTGCCTCCATCCTCATCCTTTTCACACTCTAGCACTACCTACAGCTGACGCACTGCTCAATTTGGAAGACAGAATTTGAGGGGAAATATAGTTTTGAAGATAGCAGCAAATTGGCTTCAAACTAATCTGTTTTGATGGAGATCAAAGTCGTTTCTTTTCAGGCAACAATTCTTGTTTCCCCTCCTCCCACTTCCCCTTTTAAGAACGGGCCTTTTATGGTATCCAAAAGTTGTTTGAGAAGCAGTGATTTTCCTCAGTGCATGAATGCAGTTTTGCCTGACGGCTGTATTGATGGCATTCACTTGAGGAAAATAGGGCTCTGCTTTCTCAAACCTGTTATGCTAATAAGGGTCAGTTATAGGTAGATTTTTTTCCTCCAGCGTTCTCACCGGCCAGTGAAACTTGTCACAGTCAAATGCTGGAGCCAGACCGCGCCGAAATCGTGAGAGCCAGTCATGTGCATCTCTTCCTGACTCTGTGCAGCTATGTCATGTTACCAGCTAAACATTGCTATGGTGGGCATATTTATGCCACAGAAATCATCAAATACAACAAATCAGTGCCTTTCACTTCAAAGTTTTTTTGTTAAGCATTCATCAGCACACCACCCAATATAGAGCTAATTTCCTCGAGTATTTACATCAACAGAGTATGTTCACTCAAGCAGCTTCCTCCCTCTTTGTCTGTCTGAATTTTTTATCTATTTTTATCATACTAAAGATGAGGCAAGGGTACTAAATAAAACTATGTTTTATACTCAAATATTCAAGTATTTCTTTTCTTCACAAAAGCGTTGTTTCCTTCCAAATTACCCTTTCATGTAACTCACATTCCATTTGGCCCACCCCACCACCATTTGCATATTTCTCCTTTTTTAAACACAAAATTTCCATGTATCATCTCTGCCGTCTCATCCCATAAAATAGTAACACAGTTGACCCTTGCACAACCCAAGTTTGAAATGCACAGATCCATTTATATGCAGATTTTTTGAGAGATATAATATAAATCCTGCCTATTTGGAGAGCCAACCTTTTGTATACAAAGGGTTCCATAAGACCCACTGTGGGACTTCAGTATGTGTGGATTTTTTATATACTCAGAAGTCTGGAACCAGTCCCCTGTTTACCGCCAGGGAGCTATAATTAACACTTAGTGTGGCACTTAATATGCGGTCAGGCACATCTTATTTACTTTAAATTCTTTACTTATGGTATCATTAAGGATAGTTAGCTCATATTATGGACACATACACAAACTCAAAATCTCAGTGATTTAAAACAAATAATATATATTTCTTACTCACACTATATGTCCATCATGGATCATCTCCAGTTCTGCTTTTCATCGTTTCTACTTCCCTTCAGAATAGTGGAGCAGCTTCTATCTAGGGAAATGTTTTTCTAATAACAAACAAACAAAAGTATAAATTTAAAAAATGGGTTAGTTCAATAGAGTTTGATAAATCAGTGTTCAACAAGTTATCTTAATTCAAATTATTACTTTTTACTATAATATGTATTGATCGTTTATTTGAGTTTATTTCTAATTTTTTACTTACAAACCGAGATATGTTACTGAATGTCAGCTGCGTTAACTTTCTTTTAAGAGGCTATATTTCTTTGACATATGTATAACGCATCATTTCACTTGGTCATTAACCTGACCCTAACAAACAGGTCGATCTTATTATCATTATTATCGGGAAAATGAAAAGAATGAGACTCAGAAATGGAAAGGTTTATGAGCCACATTAGTTTTTCTCCCTTTGATTAATAAATCAGTGCTCTATCCATTACATCACATTCTTTTAGATTAGGCTGTAGAGAACTATTATATTTTATTTTATCTGTTTTTGGAGGGATGGGAATGTTTTGTATTACATTAGTTCTGTATTTTCCAAAGGTTAATTTTGTGATGTTATATTGGGGTAAATGTACTAATGTTTAAAATATATACAATTTATTTTAAGGCTCTTATGAAGAAACACTTTAGAGAAATATGAATTGACTATTTTCCTCACTTGGAGATTATAGAATAGAATACAGATAAGAACCTGAATAAAGCACAATTGAGCAAAAGTTATTCATTTCTCAGATTTTATCTCAAAAAGTTCCTGATTCTGAGTACAATACTCCAAAAAATCCAAGTAAGAGAGGTCTCAAATAGTACTAGATAACATTATTTTATAAATAGGTGAGGTTGAAATTGTTGCTAGTCCAGTGTTATTACAAAAAAAGTCTGGCAAGGATTGAGAGAAGAAAATCCCAAAGAAATTCACACAAAACAGGGAAGATCACCATTCAATACTCTAATCAAATAGCTGCTTAGATTTGAGTCAGTACAACTAAAACAAGGGAGAGAACATTGGAGAGAAATGTGGTGGTGGAGTGGGCAGTTGGCAAGAAAGCATCAACTGTCCCCTTGAAGATCTTGCCCAGTATTGTAGGTGAGATCAGTCCTGCCTGGATCCGTAAATCTCAGAGTTTGTGCTTCTAATTATAAATAAAATAAAGGATACTGAAGCATGTGAAGAAGAGAGGTATGCATATCAAGATGTAACACAGACTACCACCTGGACATTAGCTAAAAGATACGTTAGAATTCCATACAGTGCCACTAGATCACAGGATTGTTGCTTGATATTGAGCCTCTTAATGGTGGAATTTATTGGGGGTCCTTCCTCTAGCACAGTAATCCTAGAACAACCTCAATACAGATAATTCATCTAACGAATACATTTTTCTTTCTTCATCCTCTCTATCCCAGCACCAGAGGGAAAATAAAAGGAAAAAAGACAAGAACATGTGTGAGATTATCACATCCACCCACCCTGTTCCCAGTCCTTAGAAATAAAATTAGTTTTAAAATAATGAAGAAAATAATTTAAAAATAATGAGTAAGGCATCATATTAATTAAAATGAGACAGTTTTGCAAAATAACAATTATAGACATAAATTGAGACATCATTGATGAAGCCAGCTACACAGCAGAAATGAAGATGATCAATATAAAAGCCTGAAAAGATCTTGGGAAGAATAAAACTGTTTCATTTTATTCTTAAGGAGCTGATATTCCTTATTCAAACTGAGTATAATATAATGCAGGCTTGGACTTTTGTATTTACAGCAAAAGCAAGAAAAAGGAAAAGATTTGGAAACTTTATGAAGGTACTATAAGAGTTAACAATTAAAAATTAAACAAAATACTCAGCTGGCCCTTCCTCACTCCATTTCTAGACTCTTAATTGGATATTTTCCTACATTATATGTTGAGCAAAGGTATAAAGTATATTATTCTCAAGGCCTTGATATTTGTTCCAACATGGCTTATTTACGATAAAATTCTTAGTTCCTTTAACACTTCTACAAATAGTCAAAATATGCAGTTATCAGCAGTGAGTGTGTGCCTGATTGAAAAGAACAATCACTTACGAACTAGTGTTGAATCAAATGATCCATTCACCTACTGCTGGCGAGGTCATCCCAAGAGAAATTCAACCACAATTTGCCAAATGGATAACAAATGTATACATGGGGAATGGAATAAAAGTATGACCCTTTTTGCAATGGAATAAAAGTATGACCCCCTTTGCACTTAATGTGTTCCTTTAGGAGTGAAGGATTGGGATTTAGGAGAAGATAAAAGCTGGCAATTTTCCTTTGACTTAAAATGTTTTTCTTACTGTTCTCTCTTTTTTTTGTTTTTGGCTGCTACTTTCTTATTTATGTTAACCTGTGGACTTACATCTGAAAATGAGTGGTAGTGAAAACAATAATTTACTTGAAATATGTCCGTATTGCTTTTAAAATAACAAAGAACATTTACAGTGAAGCACAGATTGACCAAATACAGTTCCTGGGTTAAATGGCCTATGTTTTGAGAGACAAGTAAGATAGAATATTTTTTGTATTTTAAAAGGTTTGTAAGAAACATATAAACAAACAAAAATATGGAACCAAAAACAAAAATTAAAGAATAATATGCAGAGTCTATATGTGAACCACAAAACCTACAATTTTTACATTTGACCTTTTACTTTTTTTGTGAAAGGTCAGATGTACTGACCTTTGAATGATTGATAATCATTCAAAAATAAACAAAGTGTCCATTATATTTATGTTAAGTATAAAGCCAACTTTAAAATAGAAAATATATTTTTAAAAGTGTTTATACCCCTATAATGTAGCATTAGTTTATTATATTAAATTAATTAAGGGATCATACATTTAACCATGTCAAAGATGTATCTCACATTAGCTAGCTAAAAATACAAGCAGGATTACTTGTCAAGAATATATTCAATAAATATTTATTAAAATAATGGGGACTATCTTATCTTTCGTATTTAAGGTACATAAGGAGGCAGGATAAGTGGTTGGTTAATAGGAGGGAGGTTGATTGTCTTCAGTGTAGGGAAGAGGAGATTAAATGAGATAGCAGGTAAATTGCAAAGAGTTTGAAATGTAGAAAAAAGTGTTTGAGAGGCTGAGGGGTTGGATTACCTTAGGTCAGGAGTTTCAGACCCATCTGGCCAATATGGTGAATCCCTGTCTCTACTAAAAATACAAAAATTACCTGGGTGTGTTGGTGCATGCTTGTAATCCCAGATACTTGGGAGGCAAAGGCAGGAGAATCAGTTGCACCTGGGAGGCGGAGCTTGCAGTGAGCTGAGATCATGCCACTGCACACCAGCCTGGGCCACAGAGCGAGATTCGGTCTCAAAAAAAAAAAAAAAATGGTAATTCTTTTTATTCCAATTTTCTAAAAGGAATCTGTTTTCCTGTTAACTCATAAACTCATAAAAGATTTTAGGGTGAACAAGAAGGTACTGGGCATTTGAAATAATGAATAAAAAAATGAAATGTAAAAGAGGAGAATGGATACATTCCAAGAAATTCCACTTTATTATTTTACTAGCTATTCTATTGAGAAAAAAGGGTCAATTGCAATTTAAAGAACAAACTGACACTTTGGATGCTGAAGATATAGATGGCTAAGAGATCAATATTAATAATAATAGCATCAATACCTAATTTTAATTGATGCTATCATAAGCCAGGAACTACACTAAGCACTTGAAAACTTCTCCATTTTTAATACTCCCAACAAAGCAGAAGTAACTTTTCCTATGTCAAAGAGAATCCTGTTGCAGATGTGGGATTAGAATGCAAGCTGTTCTACCCTACACTCTCTGTACTATTATTCTATGCTGTCTTCTCTAAGGAATGAAATTTCCTTATTCCCTTCAGCTTTGCTTAGACTTGCCCACAATCCCTTCAATAGCAAAGTACATCTACCTATAAGGTGAATCATTGTTTCTCTTTCAAACATCTACTTGATAAGCCTTGATTTAATTTTTTGTGGTTGCTTCATGATTCTTAACAAAAGTAAAATAAAATTATTATACAGAAAGTGTCCACTGACACCCAGAACATACAAATTTTGCTACTGCTTTAAAACTTCTGGTTCCACCTCCCAGTGAGGTGACTCGCTCTGATGCTTTGATTCTCTTTCCTTTTCCTGGCTTTTTCTTGTTGGAAACTGCAATAACAGGTATAACAGCTCAGAGACAAATAGCAGGAGAAAATAGAAAATGACGAGAAACAGACCAAGAAGTTGAATGTTGACACCTCCAGTTACCTGAAGGGAAAAAAAAAACCACACATTTGACTAATGAACGAATTGGGTGTAAGTCTAAAAAGGTGTTTTGTCAGCTTGCAGCATGTGTTTTCTTTTAATCTTTATCCATTCTTCTCATTTTTGAATAGTTTCAAGAAGCCATGGAATTTAATGTCTGGGCCTCAAGGAATTATTATTTTTAGCCCTGAGGAAAAATTTCTGCTGCCTTGATCTCACTACAGAATTGATCTTGTTCCAAAACAGTTTGAATTAAATGCAAGCTGTCTTACAGCATGACCCTCTGAATTAACAGGTCCTGTCAGAGGTATTGATTTGTTTTTCTGATATCTTTGAAAGGTTCTAGAAATTTCAGGGTTTTTACTTCTCTTTCCCTTTTTTGATGAATATTTCTTGTAAAATAGGATGCATTTTTGCTCTGAAGATGATACAGGAGTTTATGATTCATGAATGTTTCACAGCTGGTTCAGGTACAGTGTGCGTGAATCATAGGCACTGCATCGTAAAATTTATAATGTCACGTGTATTACAAGGATTACTTTGGATATTTGCAATTTGCTCTTTTGCAATCAAAGATGCTTTTATTTTTTTCAGATTCATTATGTTTATTTCATGGCAATGCCCTTTTTCATCTTGTTCATCTGGCAAATTCCTACATATCTTTTATTATTGTAGTTGTAATAAAAATATGGAACACGATACTTACCATTATAACCATCTTTGGCATTAAGTACATTCACATTTTTGTGCAACATCATCACCGTCTGTTTCCAGAACTTTCTCATCCTCCCAAACTGAAACTCCGTACTCAGTAAACACTAACTCCCCAAACACCAGCCCACAGCTCCTGGCACCCACCATGTAACTTTCTGTCTCTATTAATTTGACTGTTATAGCTACCTTATATAAGTGGAATCATATAGCATGTGTCCTTTTGTGTCTGACTTATTTCATTTAGCAAAATGTATTGTTTGTTTTTCTTTTAATTTTGCCATTCTTTATTTTTCCGTTTTTATTTAGATTCAAAGGGTACATGTACACGTTTATTATATGGGTATGTCACATGATGCTGATGTTTGGGGTACAATTAATCCTGTCACCAAGGTAGTTAGCACAGCACCCAACAGTTGGTTTTTCCAGCCTTGCTACGCTCCCTCTCAGCCAGCCCCCTCTAGTACTCCCCAGTGTCTTTTGTTCCCAAGTTTATGTCTACATGTATGCACCATTTAGTTCTCACTTATAAGTGAGAATATGTAATATTTGTTGTTCTATTTCTGTGTTAATTCAATTAGGATGATGGCCTCCAGCTGTATCCAGGTTGCTAAGAAGGACACAATTTCCTTTTTTAGGGCTATGTAGTATTCCGTAGTGTATATGTGCCACATTTTCTTTATATGCTCCACCACCGATGGGCACCTAGGTTGATTCCATGTCCTTGCTATCATGAAGAGTACTGCTGTGAGCATACAAGTGCCTGTGTCTTTTCAGTCAATTTATTTTCTTTTGGGTGGCATTGCTGGGTCAGATGGTAGTTCTATTTTTAGTTCTTTGAGAAATCTCCAAACTGATTTCCACTGTGGCTGAACTAATCTACATTCCCACCAAGAGTATATAAGTATTCTATTTTCTCTGCAGCCTCCCATCATCTGTTGTTGTTTTACTTTTAAATAATAGCCACCCTGACTGGTGTGAGTAGGTATCTCATAGTGGTTTTGACTTGCATTTCTCTGATGATTAGTGATATTAAGCATTTTTTTCATATATTTCTTGGCTACTTGTATCCCTTTCTGTTGAGAAGTGCCTATTAATGTCTTTTACTCATTTTTTGATGGAATTTTTTGTTTTTGCTTGTTTAATTCTTTAAGCTACTTGTAGATTGTGAATATAAGACATTTGTTGGATGCGTATTTTGGGAATATTCTCTCCTGTTCTGTAGGTTATCTGTTCACTCTGTCGATGGTTTCTTTTGCTGTGCAGAAGCTCTTTAGTTTAATTAGGTCCAACTTATCAATGATCATTTTTGTTGCAATTGCTTTCGAGGACTTAATCATAAATCCTTTGCCAAAGGTGATGTCCAGAATAGTGTTTCCTAGGTTTTCTTCTAGGATTCTTATAGTTTTAGTTCTTACATTAAAATATTTAAGCCATCTTGAGTTAATTTTTGTATGTAGTAAAAGGTAGGTATCCAGTTTCATTCTTCTGCATATAGCTCACCAGCTATCCAAGCTCCATTTATTGAATAGGGAGTCCTTTCCACAGTGCTTATTTTTGTCAAGGGTTCCCTTTTTTTTTTTTTTAGCAGTGTTTTGTAGTTCTTCCTGCAGAGATCTTTTACCTCCTTGGTTAGATTTATGCCTAGGTATTTTACTTCTTTTGTGGCTGTTGTAAATTGAATTGTGTTCTTGATTTGGCTCTTAGTTATTGGTGTATAGAACTCCTACAGATTTTTGTTCATTGATTGTATCCTAGTACCTTGCTAAAATTGTTGATCAGTTCTAATAACTTATTGAGAGAGTCTTTAGGGTTTTCTAGGTATAAAATCATATCACCAGTGAAGGCAGATAGTCTGATTTTTTTTTCTTTTTTTTTTGCTATTTGGATGCTTTTGTTTCTTCCTCTTGCCTCCAGCAAATATATGAAAAAAAAAGTTTAACATCTGGCTAGCACTTCCAGTGTTGTCCTGAATAGGAGTGGTGAGACAAGATCTCTCTGTCTTGATCCACTTCCAAGAGGAATGCTTGCAGTTCTGATCATTCAATATGATGCTGGCTATGGGTTTGTTGTAGATAGCTTTTATTATTTTGAGATATGTACCTCTGATGCCTAGTTTCTTGAGGGATTTTACCATGAAGGGATGTTGAATTATGTTGAAAGCTTTTTCCGCGTCTCTCGAGGTGATCATATGGTTTTAGTTTAAATTGTGTTCATGTGATCGGATCACATTTACTGATTTGTATATGTTGAAATATGATGAAACAACCTTGAATCTCAGGAATTAACCCTACCTGATCATCGTAAATTAAATATTTGATGTGTTGTTGAATTTGACGTGTAAGTATTTTGTTGAGAATTTTTGTGTCTGTGTTCTTCAGAGGCATGGGCCAGTAGTTTCATTGTGTGTGTGTGTGTGTCTGTCTCTGTGTGTGTGTGTGTGTGTGTGTGTGTGTGTATGTGTCTTTGCCCGGTTTAGATATTAGGTGATGCTGGCTTCATAGAATCAGTTAGGAATCACCCCTCCTTGATTTTTTGGAATAGTTTTAATAGAATTACTATCAGCTCTTCTTTGGACCTCTGGTAGAACTCAGCTGTTAATCTATCTGGACTGGGGCTTATTATTACTGTTTTTTGGTTGTTAGGTTTCTTATTACTGATTCACTTTTTGAACTCAATATTGGTTTCATCAGTGTTTCAATTTCTTCCCGATTCAATCTTGAGAGGTTGTGTGTTTCCAGGAATTTTTCCATTTCCTCTAGATTTTCTAGTATGTGTGCATAGAAATGTTCATAGTTGTCTATGAGGGAGTTTTGTATTTCTGTGTGATCGGCTGTGACATTACACCACTTTTGTCATTTCTGATTGTGCCTACTTGAATTTTTCTTTTCTTCTCTTTATTAATCTAACTAACAGTCTATTGATCTTGTTTATCCTGTCAAAGAACCAACTATGAAACTATGGTTTCATTTATCCTTTGTGTGGAATTTTGGGTCTCAATTTCATTTGGTTCAACTCTAATTAGAGTTGTCTTATTTTCCTTCTAGCTTTGGGATTAGTTTGTTCTTGTTTATCTACTTCCTCTAGTATAATGTTAGATCATTAATTTGAGATCTTTCTAACTTTTTGAGGTAGGCATTTATCACTATAAATGTTCTTCTTAACACTGATTTTGCAACATCCCAGAGATTTTTTATGTTGTGTTTCTGTTTTGATTTATTTCAAATAATTTTTTATGTTTCTGGCTTGATATTGTTGTTTACTTAAAAGTCACTCAGGAGCAAGCTGTTTAATTTCCATGTAATCATGGGGTTTTGAGAAATATTATTGGTATTGCTTTCTATTTTCATTCCACTGGGGTCCAAGAATATGGGTGCTGTGATTTCTTTTTTTTTTTTCATTTGCTGAGACTTGCTTTATGACTCAGCGTGTGGTAAATCTTGGAGTATATTCCCTGTGCAGTTGAGAAGAATGTATATTCTGTGGTGCATGGGTGGAGTATTCTGTAGATGCATATTGGATCCAGTTGCTCAAGTGTTGAGTTTAAGTCCAGAATTTCTTTGTTAGTTTTCTGCCTTGACAATCTGTTTAATGCTGTCAGTGGGGTCTTGATCTCCCTCACTGTTATTGTGTGGCTAAGTCTTTGTATAGGTCTAGAGTACTGGTTTTGTGAATCTAGACTCTACAATGTGGGGTGTGTTTATGTTCTAGATAGTTAAATCTTCTTTTTGAATTGAACCCTTTATCATTATGTAGTTCCTTTCTTTCTTTCTTCTTTTTTGTTTTTAGTGTTGTTAGTTTAATCTCTGTTTTATCTGATATGAGAATAGTAATCCCTGTTCTTTTCCTTTTCTGTTTGCATAGTAGATCTTACTCCATCTCTTTACTTTGAGCATCATTACTTTACTTCATGTATCATTACATATAAGGTGGGTCTCTTGGAGACAGCAGCCATATGGATCTTGGTTTTGTTTTGTTTTTAATCCAACTTGCCACTCTGTGCCTTTTAAGGGTGGCATTTAGGCCATTTATGTACCAGGTTAATATTGATATGTGAAATTTTGATTCTATCATTAAGTTGTTAGCTGGTAACTTTGTAGTTTCTATTTTGTTGTTGCTTTATAGGGTCTGTGGGCTATGTACTTAAGTATGTTTTTGTGGTAGCAGATATGGTTCTTGGTTCCCATGTTTAGAACTACTTTAGGATTTCTTTGAAGGCTTTCTAGTGGTAACAAATATTCTTAGTACGTGCTTGTCAGGAAAATATTTTACTTCTCATTTGCTTAAGATGCTTAATTTGATGGAATATGAAATTCTTGGTTGGAATTTGCTTTCTTTAAGCATGCTGAAAATAGATCCCCAGGCTCCCCTGGCTTGTAAGTCTTCTGATCAGAAGTCTGCTTCAGCCTGATGGGGTTACCTTTGTAGGTGATCTTTCCTTTTTCTCTATCTGCCTTTAAGTAGGAGTTGAACAATGATAACACATGGACACAGGGAGGGGAACATCACACACCAGGGCCTGTCAGGGAGTGGGGAGCTAGGGGAGGGATAACATTAGGAGATATACCTAATGTAGATCGCGGGTGGATGAGTGCAGCAAACCACCATGGCACATGTATACCTATGTAACAAACCTGCATGTTCTGCACATGTATCCCAGAACTTAAAGTATAATAATAATAATTTAAAAAAACAATGAAATTCGCTATTTTGAGCTTACTGCTAAAAAAAAAAATTTTCTTAAGTATTGATGTTGGACAGTCACGTGGCTGTATGCCCTAGTGAAGTCATTTTATATAGTATCTCACAGATGTTCTCTTGATTTCTTGTTTCTGGATGTCTACCTTTCTGGCAAGATCAGGGAAATTTTCTTGAATTTTTCCCTCAAATGTAATTTCCAGGTTGTTTTCTTTTTCTCTTTCTCTCTCAGAAATGCCAATAATTAATAGGTTTGATTGTTTTACATAATCCTTTATTTCTTGAAGACATTGTACATTTTAAAAAATTCTTTTTTCTTTATTTTTGTCTGACTGGGTTACTTCAGAAGGCTTATCTTCAAGCTCTTAAATTCTTTTATCTGATAGATCCAGTCTATTAATAAAGCTTTTGATATATTTTAACATTTTTCAAGAGTTTTTTTGATTCCAGAAGCTGTAATTGATTACTTTTTAAGACGTTTATCTTTTTCTTTAATTCCTGAATTGCTTTAGAATTTTTTTGTGTGTTAATTTTCAAGTTTGTTTTGGATCTTATTGAATTTTTTTGCAATCCATGTTTTATATTATTTATCTGTCATTTCTGAGTTTCCATTTTGGTTAGGGACCATTGCTTAAAATCTAGTGGAATCCTTTGGTGGTATCACTACATTCAGATTTTCATGATGCCAGAATTCTTGCACTGATGTTTTCTTATCTGGAGACACTAGGATTTTTAATTTCTGTAACTTTTTCATGCAGGTGGGATATTTTCTTTGTTCTTTCTTTCTTTTTATCAACTGGACACCATCGTGGGAGCTGTTTGCTGGTGTTTTCCTCTCCAGGATCTGGGGTATTCTTCATAATTCCATTGGATTCCCGTTTTTCTTCTTAAAGTTCACAGAGTTCATTTTTATGATTTATTTTGCTATTTTCAAGTGGCTGAGGCGCACCAAAGTCTCTAATTCATCATTTTGACAAAAAAAAATAAAAATAAAACTTTCCTAGGTTTTCTTCTAGGAATTATAGTTTTAGTTTTTAGTTTAAGTATTTAATGTATCTTGGGTTAATTTATTTTTTTTAATATTTATTTATTTATTTATTTTTGACACAGAGTCTCACTCTGTTGCCCAGGCTAGAGTGCAGTGGCACAATCTCGACTCACTGCCAGTTCTGCCTCCTGGGTTCATGCCATTCTCCTGACTCAGCCTCCCAAGTAGCTGGAACTACAGGCACCTGCCACCACGCCTGGCTAATTTTTTGTATTTTTAGTAGAGACGGGGTTTCACTGTGTTAGCCAGGACGGTCTCCATCTCCTGACCTCGTGATCCGCCCTCCTTGGCCTCTCAAAGTGCTGGGATTACAGGCGTGAGCCACCACACCCAGCCGGGTTACTTTTTTTTATATGATGAAAACTAGGAATCCAGTTTCATTCTTCTATGTATGGCTAGCCAGCTGATTTAATAGGGAGTTTTTCCTCATTGCCTATTTTTGTGTACTTTGTCAATGATCAGATGGCTGCAGATGTGTGGCTTTATTTATGTGTTCTCCAATATATTCCATTAGTATATGGGTTTGTTTTTCTACCAGTAGCATGTTGTTTTGGTTACTGTAGACTTGTAGTATAATTTGAATGCAGGTAGTGTGATGGCTTCAGCTTTGTTCTTTGGCTTAAGATTGCTTTGACTATTTGGGCTCTTTTTCACTGCCACTTAAGTTTGGAATAGTATTTTCTAGTTCTATGAATAATGACATTGGTAGCTTTATAGTAATAGCCTGGGGGCCCAGCTGTCAGTTCGGCAGATCAGAATGAGAATTTAGGGTGCTGCTTTTGGGCCTGCCCCTGGCTGCCCATGGACCAATCAGCATGTACTTCCTCCCCTATGAGGCCCATTAAAACCCCCAGACTCAGCCAGACTCCAGCAAATGACATAACAACTTGCCTGCAGATAGGAGCTACCCACCCTGGGTCTCCTCTCCACGAGGGCTTCACAGACAATGAGATGACCTTCCTGCAGAAGGGAGCCACCCACTGTGGATCTCCTCTCCACTGACAAGCTGGACCTGGGACTACCTGCCTGAGGAAAGGAGCTACACACTTTGGGTCTCCTGAGAACTGTTCTGCCACTCAGTGAAACTCCTCTCTGCCTTGCTCACCCTCCATTTGTCTATGTACCTCATTCTTCCTAGATGTAGGAAAAAAACTCAGGACCTGCTGGTTGGGCAGGACTAAAAGAAGAGCTGTAACACAAACAGGACGGAAACAGGCACCCCATCCCCGACACCACAATGCAGACAACAGGAAGGAGAGAAGAGCTGTGGCCCTTTATGGAACCCAGATCTAAGGGCTCCCCAAACCAGGGCTGTGACACCCTCCTTGGGGTTCTGCAGTTCCTGGCATCTCCAAGCTTCCACAAGCCACCATATTCCCCTCATCCAGATGCAGGTGCCTGCATCTGGTCCAACCACAGGCTTACATGGACCTTCCTCCTATACTGGCACCTGGAGCTGCCTGCCCTCTTGTAGCAGCCAGTGTGCCTGGCTGTGCTCAGTGACTGGACCCCACATTCACTCACCTTCACACCCCTTTGCCACTCTGCTTTTGGCTCACACTTGGCAGATGTGGGATCTGGGCCAGTAGCACAAACCGAGCACAGCTTGTCAGGCTGCATAGGTGGAACAAGCCCAGCAGTCACAGGCAATCCTCAGGTAGAAGGTGCCATTGGCCGCAGAAGTTTCCAGCTGGCGAAGCAACACCAAAGCTCCTGTGATACTTGTACTTCAGTAATTAAAAATAAGCACTCCTCATTTCTGTATAAACCATTTCTTTCACTTGCATGCTAGATCAGTGCTTCTTAAAGTTTCTGTTATAAAGGGTGCATTTAAATGAATTACTAGAAAAATGAAATACAAAAGATGTAAAATGAAAGCCATTTTAACTGTTAGATTCAACATATATAAAATTACTGTCAAATCACTTTAAAATTTTCTAAACACAACTCAGTATTTAATGTCTCATCATGATCCATAATCACTTTGCAGAATGACACTGGTTATTGGACCTCACTAGCACTTAGGACTGGAAATGTAATTGGCAAGGCCCAATGCAAATCTAAAACACACACCTTCTAATTGTGGGCTCTTTACTCTGACTCTGATCTGATTGAATTCTACTGATTCCATGTATGTCTACTCTGAAGGATGTTGCTTCATAATTTCCCTATGTGCTTCTTACATCATAAGCATCCATTGCTCTACCTGATCATTTCCATCAGCATGCAATACTGCCATTATATCTTGCAATTGAACACAAAGCAACAACAACAAAATTTCTCTTGGTCCCGTAAACCTTCTAGCAATTTATCCATTTCTGTGCTTCCCTTCACTGTGGAAACTTCTCAAATATATTGTTTATACTGGCCTGAAGAAAGTTGTGGTTATTCTCCTTTCCAGGATTATCTGTTGACTCCATTGTAACCAGGATTTCAGTCACATTAATCCACTCAAATGGCTTTTTTTTTTTTTTTTTGCATTTTCAGTGCCCATTCCATTGACAACTTAATTTCTCATCTTACTCAACCCATCCTCATGATGTGACAGAATTGATAGTTTCTTCTTTATTTAAAAATTTAATTAGTTGACCTACAGTGTACCCCAATCTCCTGGGACTTTTTCCATACTCCCAGGCTGCTCTATTTTTGTTTTCTTTGATACTTCTTCCCCTTAACTTCCCTGACTTTTAAAAATTGAAACACCCTTCTTTCAACTTTAACCTCTTCTTTTCCTATTTCCATTCACTCCAAAGATTATTTCAACAGATCTAATGAGTTTAAGTGGTATATGCTCATAACTTCTAATTCAAATGTCTAGTTTAGCTCTCTGTCTCAAAACTATAGATCCATGTCAATCTGTAACAACAGTATTTCCCTTTGGTTACTAAAGAAACATCTTTTGTAGGTTGGGTTTTCTGGGAAGCAGACTTTGAAATTAAGATTCAATTACAGGATCTTTATTAGGGAGTGTTTGGGGTATCAACTCCTATTGAAGGGAGGGGAAGAAAGCAGTATTGTATGTATGGAGAAGTTAAACTTCAGTGCAGTCCAAGTAAAGCTTTCAGCTGCCTACAGGGAAAATTATGGATGTGATATGGTCCTTCAGGGTTGTAAGGCTGTGACAAGGAGATAGGCTGTTTATATGTCTGCATCAATATTCATTAGACGCAGGTTGCCTCAGAAAGCTGCTTGACCTTGGGCTTTCCTCAGATGAGGCATTCTCTGAATAGGACTGATAGCTGAAGCCTTTCAGTGTGCAACATTTCTAATGTATAAGGGAATAATCCCGTCATTCCTTGAAGGAGGATGTGTGAAGCATATCATGGTGTTTTTTATCAGAGCATCTCAAAATTAGTATTTCCCATGCTCAATGCTTGACACTTACTTTCCATTATCTTAATGAAAACAGGTGGTCCTTCTGCATTTTCCCTACCCAGTAAATGGCAACTTTATCCTTCCAAATTCTTGGGCCAAAACCCTTTAAGTGAACCCTGACCTTTCTCTTTATCCACAGGCCCCCTTGTCACCAATGAATCAATAAATTTGGTTGGTCCAAAGATATTTACATGATTCTACAATTTCTCACCATTCCCACTGCTTTCACCCTAATCCTAGCCACCATCACCTACCTCCTACTTAGATTATTGCAATAGCTTCCCTACTGGACTGCTCCAGCCCACCGCCCTGCCCTTTTGTGGTCAGTTGCAGGCAACAGAATAATACTTTTTAAAAAAATTACCTAAAATGACTTCACATTTTTGTTAAATTCCTGACATGGCTTCTCAGATTACCTAAGATAAAAACAAATGTTGTACTGATAGCTACCTGACCTCATCTCCTACTTCTCATCCTTTCACTGATTCCACTCTAGCCTTACTGACCTCCTGGAACACTGAGTGATTCCTACCTCTGGAACCGTTCACTTGCTATTTCCACTACCTGAAAGGCTCCTTGTTCAGATATTCTCATGACTTAGTTTTTCCCTTCCTGCAGACTTTGCTTACATTTCCTTGGAGTGAAGTGGTCTTACCTACCCACCTTATAAAAAATAATAATATTCCAACATGCTGTGCTTTCTGTTAACTTTATCCTCTTTGCTGTAATCCTATATGCACTTGTGCTTATTTTGTGTTATATTGTCATGCCAAGTATTATATTAGGTCCATAATCACCGAGAGTTTGTTTTATTTGCTATTATATCCCTAGTAACTACAACAGTGCCTGGAATATACTATGTAATCAATAAAAAATTGTTGACTATCATGTGGATCTGATTTTAAGAAAGGCTGCAACTGAGGTTTCAAATGGTGCCTTGGTGTGTTGCTTTCTACTGTCTTCTTATTGGTTAGCTCTGTGTAGACTTCATTTTCAAGCAGCCTCTGTAATGAAGACAGTTATGATAACCATCTTGTTTTTTACTAACTCTGTAATGAGGACTTAGTGTTATGTAGCCTTGAGATGACATCTAGGAAATGGCGGATTCAGGGTTTTCTAAAATAAAAAGAAACCCAAGTGATGAAGTATAATAAATACACTATAGAAATTCAAAAAATAAAAAAATATTTAAAAAGCAGACAGAATATTGATATGGTTTGGTTTTGTGTCCCCACCCAAATCTCACCTTGAATTGTAATAATCCCCACGTGTTGTGGGAGGGACCAGGTGGCAGGTAATGGAATCATGTGGGCGAGATTTTCCTATGCCATTCTCATGATAGTGAATAAATCTCACAAGATCTGATGGTTTTATAAAGGGAAATTCCCCTGCACATGCTCTCTCTCTTGCCTGCCACTGTGTAAGACATGCCTTTCTCCTCCTCTGCCTTCCACCATGATTGTGAGGCCTCCATAGCCATGTGGAGGCCTTTTTTTCTTTATAAATTACACAGTTTGGGGTCTTTAATAGCAGTGTGAAAAAAACTAATACAAATATAATTAATAGTAAAGGAATACATTTTAAGAAGATATGTTTTAGACTTTTCTCCAGAGAATTGTTGCTGTCCCAACAGTTGTCTTTACAAATAATGATTGCTATTCTTTCTAAATTAAGATGTGCGTGTGTGTGTGTGTGTGTGTCTGTGTTGGGAGAAGGACCGGTAGAGAAGTGCAGAACACAGTATAAAGAACAAGATTTATTTAAAAGACTGTTATGGGGACTCTGGGACTCTCCCTTTGAGAAAGTGTGCATATGAGGACACGGTACAAATTAACAAACTCAAGCCACATTTCTTCACACTACAGATATTGCCCAGAGCACATTCACACTGTTCTAAGATGGAGAGACTGCTGTAGTGAGGCCACTGAGTGTACATGTTTTGCTGCCTCAGAGAATGATGTAGAGTTGGAAAGTGAGGAGAGTCAAGATGAATGCTTAAACGTGCTGAATTAGTTATTGTTTATCTGGAGTAAACAAAACATCTTCGGTAATATAGTATCTGCCTCTGTACTACAAATATAATAAAATATATCCCCTCAACTATAAATTTGTTTTATATGTACACTATTATACAAATGCCTATTGTTATTGTTATACATATTTGAATTTGAATTTGGAGAAATGCCTACACATGTCCAGTTCCTAGGACCAAACTTCCCGGAAATTCTCTTTTTCCCTGGCAATTGTCAGCTCCTAAAACTGCTTTAGGCACCACAAAATATGCTAATATCAGATGTAATCTCTGTGATATCAGGATTTAGAGTGCTAGAAAGGTTTTGCAGTTTATTTCATTCCCCAGTAAGCTTAAATCATTTTCAGATTTGAAATACCAAACTTTTCTCAAGAGACTGAAAACTTCAGTCTACGTAACTAATCAGCAATAGTGCTCTCCTTTGAAGTTTCAAACATCCATGAGACTTCTTGAACTGTAATGAACTGTTACCCCAGGTTTCATATCCCCAAGATTATTGTGAGTTTAGATTAGCTTTAAATATATTATTATTTAAAATTGTGTGGATTTTCACTCTGAATTTTTTTCTTATATGTAAAAATGTGTGACCTCTATTGGGAACATTTTGAGAGACATGGGAAATGATGCATTAGAAATTAAATAGTATTTATGTCTCCACCTGCCTGAAAACCAAATCCTCAGAGCAGGGGAGGACTGTAGAAATCAGTGAATGTGTTTTGAGATGAGTAACAAGTGGTTGGTTACAATAACTCTGACTTCAGGAAGCATATGTCTCAGCTTTTATGAGATAGTCTCAATTTCAAAAACTATGTGTTGTTTTAATTGGACTCTATGACAGATAATGCATTTTGAGATTGATAAAAGCAATGGATCTCTGTCAGATACAATTTTGCCCCCACCCCCCACCTGGAGACAACTGGCAATATCTGCAGACATTTTTGTTTATCATGACTGGGGACTAGATCATACTGACAACTAAGGGATAGAGGTCAGAGATGCTACTGAACACCCTAAATGCACAGGAAATCCCCTCTCCAACAAAGAATTTTCCAGTTCAAAAATGTCATTGGTACCAAACTGAGGAACCCCGACTTAGAGGAATATGGTCGCCAGAGGAATGAGGTAGAATAGAAGATCTTTATTTTATTTATTTATTTATTTATTTTGAGACAGAGTCTCACTCTGTCACTCAGTGGAGTGCAGTAGCCATGATCTCGACTCACTGCAACCTCCACCTCCTGGGTTCAAGTGATTCTCCTGCTTCAGCCTCCCGAGTAGCTGGGATTACAGGCGCCCACCACCACGCTAAGCTAAGTTTTGTTTTTTTTTTTTTTTGTATTTTTGGTAGAGATGGGGTTTCACTATGTTGGGCAGGATGGTCTTGAACTCCTGACCTCAAGTGATCTACCTGCCTTGGCCTCCCAAACTGCTGGGACTACAGGCGTGAGCCACCACGCCTGGCCAAGATCTTTATCTTTAATAGAATTTTATAGGCAATCACTAGGGAATTATATGTCATAATAAAGGTGTATTTTGGAGTTCTGGGGAAGAGACACTTCAAATAGACCTTTATTCCCTATTATCTGCTGTGCTTTTAGATTTCTATCATGTCTCTTTTAAAGCCAAGAAACACTCTTTCCAGTTTCCTAAGTGATAATCAACTGATACTGCATGTTCTCTGTTAGTCTATCTTTATGGAAATGGTAGAGACCTACTTTTATTCATTCCTTCTTATAAATGACCTATCAGCAAAAGTTTATGACTATAGTAGAAAGTGAAAACTTCCATTTGCTTCAGGCCAAAAGCCCATTGTATGACCCAAAGAAAAGCTTACAATTTCTAAACCTGTTTGAATTGGAGAATTTTTGTTGTTTCTTGGTTATTTTTTTTTTCCTTTCTAATTGAACAGAGTTAAACTATTCTGTTTTTCTAAAGTTAAATGAAAAAAGACTAATTTGAATTCTGGGTTTGAATGTAGACTATTTGCTTGGGCAACTATTTAATAGCTTCTGGTATTTTAATAGCAGTAATCACTATTACCTTTAGTAACTTGGCAATAAATGATTCTCACTGTGTTGTTTTGTAAATAAACCTCAGAGTTTATTGCATGTCTTGAAGCTATTTATTGCTTCACATGCTGTCAGCTATTGTTGATTAAAGTGTAAGTATATAAAGGCTGTAATTTTTCTGAGATTTTGATAAATAGAAAGGAACAAAAACCATGTTAGTGAAGTATACTCAATAAACTGCTAATAAGTATCAGTTGTCTAGTGAGAACAATGGGAGACTCAACTGATCCTGCAAAGTCCCTATGGTGTTTCTATACTTAACTACCAAGAATTAGTTGATTTGGAGCTAAGAAAACAATGTATTTTAAATTGAAAAGTAAAGAATATTTACATTGGAAGAGTTATTAAGAAAACTGAAAAATTCAATTATATGTCTCGTGGTTTCAAATACTTTTTTAAAAACCATAGATTCATTAAATCCAAAACCAGTTTTTAAAAGAAAATAAGGGAAAAAATGTCATCTTCGTCTCTGATTTTCCCAGTCATACACTTGTCTCACCCACACATAAGAACAAAGCTTTTTTTAAAGAAAGCTCCAGGTTAAAAAACATAAATTTCAGACACAAAGACACAATTATCTAGCAATAGAAGTGGACTGAGCCATTCCTTACCTCCCTCCTCCAAAATAAAGGTAGTTCATTCGGATTTTGATAAATAAATGGTTAGAAAGCACAGCAAAACTTGATTGCTGCTACAGTTGTCCTAATTTAACCACTGTGTGCTGAGTGATTTGGAATCAGAAGCTGTCTTCATGAGTAAAGATGAAAAATTCACAGTGTAATGCCCCAAATAGCAGGCTAAAAAGACCTGTTTATACTTATTTTTCCTTTGTTTACTTATATATATACCTATGAGTTCACACTAAAACTTCAATTCCAATCTGATCCCATACCATTTACTCTAGTTTTTTTTTTTTTTTTAATCTTTCCACACTTTTGTCTCTATTCTCTGATAGGAAACCTGCTTCTTACCTTCATTGTATTTATGTACTAAGTAAATGTCACTGGGTTAAACCAATCTCCTGCCTATGACCCCATACAAATGGTCTCCTCACTCCACTCATGCTTTGACACCACACGCCTGGCTGCCACTGGCGCAGCACAGATGCAGCCCTCACCCCACCGACAACCACGCAGACAAACTTATTACCAAGTTCAAAGTCCAACACTTCACACTACATGCCACAAATACCATACCCCAAACTATTGCCTTCTTCATTCCACTTGTACTTGTATTTTTAAATTTTCTTTCATTTTTAATTTTTGTGGGTACATATATTTTGGGGTGATATTGAGATATTTTGATACAGGAATGCAGTGCATAATAGTCACATCAGGATAATGGGGTATCCATCACCTCAAGCATCTATCCTTTATGTTACAAAAAAACTGATTATACTATTTTTGTTATTTAACACATACAATTAAATTGCTTTTTACTGTAGTCACTTTGTTGTCCTAACAAATACTAAGTCTTATTCATTCTTTTTAACTATGTTTTGTACCCATTAACTATCCCCACTTCCCCCATAAACCTGCATTACGCTTCCCTGCCTTTGGGAACCATCCCTCTACTCTCTATCTTCATGAATTCAATAGTTTTATTTTTCAGCTCACATGAATAAATGAGATCATGCAAAGTTTGTCTTTCTGTGCCTGGCTTATTTCCCTTAATTTTCTTATTTCCCTTAATTTGATGATGTCCAGATCAATCATGTTTTTGAAAATGACAGAATGTCACTTTTTATGGCTGAATAATGCTCCATTGTGGATGCATACACAATTTACCATGACAGATTCAGAGTTTGATGCCTTTGATTTTCTTTTATATACTGGGAGATAAGTGTCTAGTTTTATTCTTCAGTGTATGGATATCCAGTTTTCCCAGGACCATTTATTGAGCTTATTTTGCTTCCAAATATTGGCCATTGTGAATAGTGCTGCAATAAACACGGAGTGCAGATAGCTCTGCCATATTTTGATTTTCATCCTTCTGTGTTTATACCTAGAAGTGAGATTTCTGGATCATATGATGCTTCTATTTATAGTTTTGTGAGGAATTTCAAATACTGTTGCCAATAGTAGTTGTACTGATTTACATTTATACGAACAGCATGCAAGAGTTTTCTCAAGCAGAAGGAGTCTCTCCCATAGCCACCACAGCTGGACTGAGTCTCATCTGAAGCCAGCAAGTCTCATAAATCTCACCACAGTGTACTACCTGGGTATCACTGCTGGTTATTCAGGGACCAAGGTTTTTTGTTTATTTGTTTGTTTGTTTGTTTGTTGCGTCAGTTGATGGGTCCTACCAGGACTGGGTTCTTCTCTTCAAGGCAGAGGTTTCTATTTTTGCCCAGGATGTGTCTAGAAATGTCAGCCATGAGGTAGAACCTGAAATGGGAGCCTCATGACTGACTAGTGTCCTATCCTACTGTGGCTTACCTGGTATTCAAGATGTAAGACAATGTTCCCTTTACAATTCCCTCTTCTCTCCTCAGCAGAAGTAAAGAGTATCCCCCTGACCTGTGAGTTGTGCTGCCTGGGGTTGAGGGAGGGGTTGCACAAGCACTCCCTTAGCTGCTCCAGCCATTGTCACCGTAGGTCACATGCCATCCTAGTCCAGTGGGTCTAAGCCCAGCTCAGCACTAGTACTTGCATAGGAGTTGCAGTCTTTGTGGCCTAGACTGCATTTCAAGTTTACCTAGAACCCCAGAGCCCTTTAGCCTGTGGTGGGAAGGCTGGCTGGAACTTAAGTTTCAACTGCTGGTTTGGGTTATTCTCCTCTGGATAGGATTGGTTTATATACTCCTTCTGTGAGCCGGCATCAGCTGAATTCATTCTGGTTTTGCTTTCTGCTGTGACAGAACAGTGCTGAGTTCAATGCAAAGCCTCACAATTGCTGCACTCTCCCTCTCTCAAGTGCACAGATCCTCTCTTCTTGCCATGTGTCTTCTGCCAGGGGATGGGGGAGGGGTGGCATCAGCAATTCAAGACTTTCTTTCCTATCCTCATCAGTGACTCTTTCAGTGATATGTATTTACAGCCAGGTACTGTGAGTGCTCACCTGACATTTTCTTGTTATGAAAGTTGTTTGTTTCAGGGGATGATTACTGGGGGACCATCTTGCTCCACTCTCTCCACTCTTGCTTTGACATCCCACTGTAGACTGCTGTCCTACTGACACCCTTCCCATGCAGACACCATGATTACCCTCATTATTCCCTAACTCAACACATATGAGAGTCTACACAAATGCCCTTGTAACCATCTTTGGGCTTTGAAATCACACCAAATCATCATTCCCATTCTGACCCAGTCCTAAACATTCTGCTTACCTGCTTTGGGTTCTGACCTCCCATTCCAGACATCTTGAATGACCTCCTTTTCCTCTCTTGGGTTTGATGACCCCATGCCAGGCTGCTGTGGCAACCCTTTTCCAAGGTTTTGACACCGTTTACTTTCTGAAACCCCACCCAGGCTCTGATTCTTTACATTGATCACTTCCACAACACCCCACCCAGCCCAGATAGCCTGATATCACTCAGTCTAGGACACCCCAAATTACACTGCTGCTGTCCCCCACTTCATGGGCATGCCCTACTCACCCTCATTAGACTCTTAACAATTCTTGCTGGCCCTTCACTGCCAGTCCATTTGGCTCCCCAAAACATTTCATCTTCCAAACATGGCCACATTTGCCTCCCACCCTCTCAGATGCCTTTCTCATTTGACTAAGGCTCTAATACTTCCTGCTGTGCACGTTGCTGCCACAAATACTACTGCATGTTCCTCCCCCTCTGGGGTTCTGATTCTCTCTACCAGACCACAGCCCATACCCGCAATAGGAGCAAACGGTTATCATACTAAGCGTTGTAATGGTTTATGAAATTACTTATTCAAGAAGAAAATCAGGAAGGAAGAAGTCAGGAAGCATACATATATTTATGACACTAAAGAGATGCAAACATTCAAAGTCTCTACAGCAGATTTTCAAGCCATACTTTGGATCACAAAATCAATTTTTGGTGTTAATATTATCTCTTGTTAATGAAATCAAGTAGTATATAAGAGAACAGAACATAACAAAATAGAAAATTCTATCAATGCTATTGATTCTATTAATAAAATATTAATACGTGAAAATTAATACCATGTATAAACATTTGGTTACTGGTTCTAGGAGATAGACAGCTGAGATAGATGAGAAAGAAGGAAGAAGGAAGGAAGATAGGCAAGGTATCCAAGTTCATAGAGTCAAATATATCTTCATATCACCAGATTCAATATTTCTTGAATAAACTGATCTCTTGACCTGGATTATATGTGTATTTGACAAAATAATCTTCCAATGTTTTAACTGTTTATTTTTTACACTTAAGCCTTCAAGCTATATAACATGTATTTTTGTGTATATAATGAAATTTGAAATCAATTTCAATTTCTTCTGTCTGAATAAACACCAAACAGCATCATATATGAAGGACTTTGCTTTTTCCTAACTAGTTGTACTGTCAACTCTCTTTTTTGTGTGTGAAATTTTCTTATGTGTGTGGATCCACACTTCATATTGTACGAACCTAATTGTCTAATCCTATACCACTTGAAGCAAGTCTGTTTTTTATGCTCGTTATACTTTTGTGGCTTCAGTAACAGGAGGAATGCTTTCCATATCCATTCTATTTAGCTGTTTCTTGATTTTGGGCTTTATAAAGACCAGACTCACTCCTATAGGATCCACCTATGTTAACATTTCCCTTAGGAAGATACCTGTGTGTTAAGACATCCCATGACCTGACACTTTCTGTGTTTCTCTCTGGTCCCTGTCTGTAAGCCACAAGAAGCTCATTAGCTCCAGGAAAACAAATAGATTGCTACTGAGTGTGGACAGCAAGGAAGCTGTGCTAACTCCATCATCTCTGTGGAATAATTCTTGCTTGTTATTAGCAGCTATATTAAGATATAATTCATTTACCCTAAAATCTACCAATTTAAAGTACACAATTTAATGTTTTTAGTATATATTCACGTAGTTGTTCAACCATCACCACAGTCAATTTTAGAATATTTGTATCACACCATAAAAAAAGCCTATACTCCTCATTTACTCCAGAGTCACCAGTCCTAGGCAACTACCAGTCTGCTTTCTGTGTCTTTAAATTTGTCTATTCTGACATGTTGTTTAGATGTAATCATGCAATGTGTGATCTATTGTATCTGGTTACTTTTGCTTAGTTTAACGTTTTAATGCCCATGGTCTAGCATATATTGATATTTCATTATTTTTTATTTCTCAATAATGTGCAATTGTCTGCATATACTACACTTTATACATTCATCAGCTGACGGTCATGGGGATTGTCTCTAATTTTTGACTATTATGAATAATACTGCTATTAATATTTACATATATTTTTGTGTGTGAACATAAGTTTTCATTTCTCTTGAGCAGAAACCTAAGAATGGAATTGCTGTGTTATATGATACTGTGATGGTTAATACTGAGTGTCAACTTAATTGGATTGAAAGATGCAAAGTATTGATCCTGGGTGTGTCTGTGAGGGTGTTTCCAAAGGTGATTAACATTTGAGTTAGTGGGCTAGGAAAGGCAGACCCACCCTTAATCTGGGTGGGCACCATCTAATCAGAAAATAAAGCAGGCAGAAAAATGTGAAAAGACTAGACTGGCTTAGCCTTACAGCCTACATCTTTCTCCTGTGCTGGATGCTTCCTGCCCTTGAACATTGGACTCTAAGTTCTTCAGCTTTGGGACTCAGACTGAATTCCTTGCTCCTCAGCTTGCAGACAGCCTATTGTGAAACCTCATGATTGTGTGAGTTAATACTACTTAATAAACTCCTAAATATATCCTATTAGTTTTGTGTATGTGTGTGTGTGTGTGTATATATATGTATGTGTGTGTGTATATATATATATATATATATATATATATATATATATATATCTCCATCTATATGTCTATATCTATATCTATATCTCTTGTTAGTTCTGTCCCTCTAGAGAACTCTGACTAATACAGATTTTGGTGCCAGGAGTGGTTCTAGAGGAACTGAATATTAAGGATGGAGTTCTTTCATTGGTTTTGGGGTTTCTGGAGTTGGCTGTTTAATATGATTAGATCAAAAAATGCTAAGTACTTTACTTCTAATAGTATGGTGAACAATGATAGTCCTTGCTCTGAATTATTTAGACAGTTATGCAAAATAAATGCATTTGACACTCCTGATTCACCACTTGTGAGAGGCAAAGAGTTTAGTGACTCTATACATAATACCTTTGACTATGAAGTTGGTTGGTTGCTCCTAAGTTTACTGGACAAAGTGATGAAAGAAAAGGATGAACTCAGGGATTCTTTTTTTTTTTTTTTTTTTTTTTTGTTGTTGTTGAGGCAGAGTCTCACTCTCTCAGCCAGGCTGGAGTGCAGTGGCGCGATCTTGGCTCTCTGCAAGCTCCACCTCCTGGGTTCATGCCGTTCTCCTGCCTCAGCCTCCTGAGTAGCTGGGACTACAGGCGCCCGCCACCACGCCCAGCTAATTTTTTGTATTTTTAGTAGAGACGGGGTTTCACTGTATCAACCAGGATGGTCTCGATCTCCTGACCTCGTAATCTGCCTGCCTTGGCCTCCCAAAGTGTTGGGATTACAGGCGTGAGCTACCGCGCCCGGCTGAACTCAGGGATTCTAACTCCTGGCTTCAGAAGCAGATACTGAGCCTCAAATCTGCTAAGATTTTCCCGAGTGAGAGTCTTAGCTCCTGTAGAGAAAGAGCTAAAATTGTGGAAAATCAGACACAAACTCTTATCATGCTAGTGGCTGACCTGCAACAACAGGTGTAATCACAGCCTCGCCAGGTGTCCCCTGTTAAAGTGAGGGCATTGATTGGAAAAGAATGGGACCCTGCAACTTGGAATGGGGATGTGTGGGAGGACCCTGATAAGGCTGGGGACACTGAGCTTGTAAACTCTGATGAAACTTTTTTGTCAGAAGAAATGGCTTCTCCATTCCTAGTCGTGGAAACCTCCTCTCTCTAATCCATGCTGCCATCAGCCTTTCCACTTTTGTCTGAGGAGAGAAACCTTGCACTGCCTGAAGCAACAGTGATGGCCTCCCCTAAGGCAGTTGCCAGGAAAAATAATGTTGATTCTCCTCAGGAGCCAGCCCCAACACTCCTGTTTGCTTCTGAATCTATAACTAGACTAAAGTCCTTGTGGGCCCCTAGAGGTAAGTTCAGAGTGTGACCCATGAGGAAGTGTGCTACACTTGAAAAGAACTGCTCGAGTTTATTTTGTTTTGTTATGTTTTTTTAATTTATATAAGCAGAAATCTGGAGAACAGGCATGGGAATGGATATTATGGGTATGGGATAATGGTGGAAGAAACATAGAGTTCAATCAGGCTGAATTTATTGATCTGGGCCCACCAAGTAGGGATTCTGCATTTAATGTTGCAGCTTCAGGAGTTAAAAAAAGGTTATAATAATTTATTTGTCTGGTTAGCTAAAATATGGATTAAAAGAGAGCCAACTCTGAGCTTGCTGGAAATGCCGGATCTCTCTTGGTTTAATGCAGAGAAAGGGATCTAAAGGCTTAGGGAGTTTGGGATGGTGGAGTGGACTAGTCACTTTAGACCTACTCATCCCTGCTGGGTGGGTCCTGAAGATATACCCTTGACCAGTGCTTTGCAAAAGAGATTTATGAGGGCAGCACCTGCATCTTTGAAGAGCCCTATAATTGCTCTTCTCTGTATGTCAGATCAAACAGTGTGAACCACAGTCACTCAACTACAAAATTTAAATACAATAGGAGTAATTGGATCCCAAGGTGGCATGGGCCAAGTGGTGGCGCTCAACCATCAAAGGCAAGGTGGGTGTAGTTACCATAATGGACAGCAGAGGCAAAGCAGCATCAGAGTAGTCTGACTCATGTAAGGCTCTGACATTGGCTAATTAATCAGGGTGTTCCTAGAAGTGAAATTAATAGGAAGCCTACTGCATTCCTACTTAATTTAAGCAGAAAACTTCTATGTAGAATGGACAAAAGACTAATTTGAATTATAAAAACAGAGAATCATGACCCCTCAGTCAATTTCCAGAGTTGAGCCAGTTTACAGACCCAGAACTCCTTGAATGAAGGGGAGGCCAGGTCCCCTTGAGGAAGAATCCCATTACACTACCCACCAATTTATGCTGTTAATCTTTCTTCCATCCTTCTCCAAGGAGGCCTCGGGCCTTTTACCAAGGTCACTGTGCACTGGGGAAAGGGAAATTATCAGTCATTTTGGGGACTGCTGGACACTGGCTCTGAGCTGACGTTGATTCTTGGGGACCCAAAACTGTGGTCCTCTAGTTAAAGTAGGGGCTTATAGAGGTCAGATAATTAATGGGGTTTCAGCTCGGATCTGTCTTATAGTGGTTATCCAGTGGGTCCTTGGACTCATGCTGTGGTCATTTCCCCAGTGCTGGAATGAATAATTGGCATAGGCATACTTAGAAGCTGGCAGAACCCCCACATTGGCTCCCTGACTGGAGGGCTCTTATGGTAGGAAAGGCCAAATGGAAGCCATTAGAGCTTCTTCTACCTAGAAAAATAGTAAATCAAAAACAGTATCACATCCCTGGATGGTTTGCAGAGATTAATGCCACTATGAAGGACTTGAAAGCTACAGGGGTGGTAATCACCACATCCCTGTTCAACTCTCCTATTTGGCCTGAGCATAAAACAGATGGATCTTGGAGAATGACAGTGGACTATTGTAAGCTTAATGAAGTGGTGACTCCAATTGCAGCTTCCGTACCAGATGTGGTTTCATTGCTTGAGCAAATTAACACATCTCCTGGTACCTGATATACAGCCATTGACTTGGCAAATGCCTTTTTCTCCATTCCTGTCCATAAGGCCCACCGGAAACATCAGACTTCTCAGCCACTGCAGCACATTGCTGGGGGTGATAAGAAATTGTGTGGCCTGCCTTCATGGGCAGATAGCCTAGTTTCAGACTGAAGCTGTGAGGAAGAATTCCCATGTTCTTGACTATGCCTGCATTATGCTGTGCTGAATAGGTTTTTGGAAAGGGAGAAAGACAGGCTGTTCTTAGTGAACTCACTAAGAACAGTTTTCACAATTCTTAGTGAGATTTAGTAGGTTTTATTGAATAAATATTTTTTCCACTTGCCATATGTCTTTAGAACAGTATTTAGAGACTATTTTAAAACTTTATTTATATTACTATTATGATTATTAATATTATTTTGAGACAAGGTCTCACTCTGTTGCCCAGGCTGGAGTGTAGTGGTGTGGTCATGGCTCACTGCAGCCTCCACCTCCAGGGCTCAAGTTATCCTCCCACCTCAGCCTCCCAAGTAGCTGAGACTACAGTTGCACAACACCACACACAGCTAATTTTCTTATCTTTTTTTTTCTTGGTATAGATGAGTTTCACCATGTTGCCCACGCTGTTTTTAAACTCCTATCCACATATAATCTTCTGGTCTCAGTCTCCCAAAACTCTGGGATAACAGGCATGAGCCACTGCGCCTAGCTGAGACTTTAATTTTTAAGGTTTCTTTTTTAGCAGTTGTGATTGTTTTACTGGGAGATGGTCAGTGTAGCTCCTCACTTTGTCATTGGAGAAGTGTCTCTGCTGTATGCTCCAATCCTGCTTATTTTTACTTTTTGATATATGTATCAACTGAAAATATACTAAGGGGTTATGTTAGTGTTTGATCTATTAATTTGCTCAAAATAATACATGCTAAGTATTAGTTGTGAATTGTGTATTTCACTCATTTGTCATTTTTTTAGCTCAAAGTGTTGATGGCCAGGTTTATAAACATTTATTTATGTTCCCCTCCCCACCATCCACTGCCAATATAGTTGACCAATGTATTAGTCCATTTTCAAGCTGCTGATAAAGACATACCAGAGACTGGGCAATTTACAAAAGAAAGAGGTTCAATTGGACTTACAGTTCATGTAGCTGGGGAGGCTTCACAATCATGGTGGAAGGTGAAAGGCATGTCTCACATGGCGGCAGAGAAGTGGAGAGAACTGGGGCAGGGAAACTACCATTTTTCAAACCATCAGATTTCATGAGACTTATTTGCTATCACAAGAATAGCCATGGGAATGACCTGCCCCCAGGATTCAATTGTCTCCTACCAGGTCTCTCCCACAACACGTGGGAATTAAAGACGAGATTTGGGTGGGGACACAGACAAGCCATATCAACCAATATCTACCTATCTTAGACACATTTTCAGACCTTAACTGGAGATCTTTCTTTCTGTTTATCAGTATATAAAGTGGACATGAAGAGCAAGCAGTGCTTAAAGTATACATGTAACCTTGCAGATGAAAATTTTTGTATCTAAGAATAGGAAAAAAAAAAATCCCCCCCCACCTTAAGTGGTTGCCGGGAATTTGATGTACTATCTCTGCTAATATGGTATCATATCACTTACTATATGTTGCTGAGTATTCCAGAAGTGAGAGTTTTATTGATAACAGAGTTGTAGTCTCTTTAAGAAACACTGCTTTACAAATCGATTTTTTTTGCCTGAATTCTATTGTGCATTCTTCTTTCTAAATATTAACATCAATAGTAAGAGTTTAGTAAATGCATGCTAAGCACTATGCTGAATTCTAGATATGAACTCTTTCATTCTATCATCATGACAGCCTTGTGCCATTTTATCTGAGTATCAGAATGATGTCACTGAGATATAAATACCTTAAATCTTGCTCAAAGAGGATGTGGCTTATAAGTGAAAGAGTCCCATTTCATTCCTATTTCTTTTCACTCCAAAGCCTAAGATTTTAACTATTAAATTAATTTATTGAGCAATACTTTTTTTTTTTTTTGAGACGGAGTCTTGCTCTGTCACTCAGGCTGGAGTGCAATGATGTGATCTTGGCTGACTGTAACCTCTGCCTCCCGGGTTCAAGCGATTCTCCTGCCTCAGCCTCCTGAGTAGCTGGGATTACAAATGCACACCACTACGCCCGGCAAATTTTTGTGTTTTTAGTAGTGACAGGTTTCACCATGTTGGTCAGGCTGGTCTCAAACTCCTGACATCGTGATCTGCCCGCCTTGGGCTCCCAAAGTGCTGGGATTACAGTCATGAGCCACCATGCCCGACCACTGAGCAATACCTTCTATTTGAATGGAATTCTGAAGTGTATTAAATATCTATTACCTCATCTGATTCTATATCTACTACATAAAGTAGATGCTTGAAGTATTTTTTATTTCATTTTATGATTTAGAATAGATGTCTAGGGATACATGCTAGTTCCCTAGACCCTAGGTGGCTAAAAGTGAGAGAATTAAGACTAGGTTCTTAATCTTGTAGATACTAGACCTGGATTACTTTTACAAATGCACAGTTAACCAGCATATAGTGAACACTATTTCTCAATGTTTATTTCACAAAGATTAATATTTTCTCAAGGTAGGGGCTATATTGAATAGTTTTATATTATTTCTCATTTCTAGCAGTACATATATTGTTTATAATGGGCATCAAATTAATGCTTTGTTTTTGTCTATTTAATTCAGAATATTGTGTGATTAATAGTTCCTAAATTGGATTACATATTTTTATCTATAAGTAGTGCTGTGATGTGTGGGGCTTAATGGACAATTGATCTTTGATAACTATGCTTGTTTTATCTGTTTTTTTGTTTTTTGTTTTATATATATATATATATATTTTTTTTTTTTTTTTGAGATGGAGTCTCGCTCTGTCGCTGAGGTTGGAGTGCAGTGGAGTGATCTTGGCTCACTGCAAGCTCCTCCTCCTGGGTTCATACATTCTCCTGCCTCAGCCTCCCGAGTAGCTGGGACTACAGGCGCCCACCACCATGCCTAGCTAATTTTTTGTATTTTTAGTAGAGATGGGGTTTCACCATGTTAGCCAGGATGGTCTCGATCTCCCGACCTCGTGATCTGCCTGCCTTGGCCTCCCAAAGTGCTGGCATTACAGGCGTGAGCCACTGCGCCCAGCCTGTGTCTATTGTTTTTAAGGTGCACTTTCTGTCTACTTCTCTCACAGCTGTCAAGCCATTCACTGTGTACTGATTTCATTCACTGTTTGCCTGTGTCCGGATAACTTTATTATTTTACATATCTGGTTTTTATCTAGTGAAGGCTGAGAAATCTAACTAGTTAGAAAAGTGAGTAGGCTCTGAGGAAAGCTTTGAGAAAACCTTGAACTAAATTCTAAGAGTTTAAGTAAATTGCTTCGTAGGTGTCCAGTTTTTCATAGTTCTAAAACAAAGAACAAATAAACTTCTATTTATATAAATCTGGACAAGAGCTGTATCATGAAGAAATTTTTTTAATGACAGAAATGTTGATTCTGATTTTTTTCTATTTGGTTTGTCATTAAATGTTGAGGGCTGTAAACTGACCAAAGCCAATTGTCTTTCCACAATAATTAGATTCTAAGTATCAATAGCCACGAATAAGTAGTAGTAAAAGAGGGCTAGGATTCTCTGTCACAACCTTCATAGAAAGGTTGGAAAAGTTTGTCTCAGGCCAAATACTACTATGCACAGTATATTTATTAGCAAGTAAGATTTGTCCTTTCAGAGGCCTGACAACATTTTTCTTTAAGTTCAATTTAGGCAAACCAAACACTATTCTAGAGACAGCTCTCAGGGTAATGTTACAGTTAGTATTGGGCAATAAAAACTAAGAATAATTGGGCTAAATTCATACTTATGGAATCATCTTTTCAGCATCATTCCAGATGACAAAAGCCTTCCTGGTTTCATATAGTTTATTCATATAACCTCCTTTATCTTGAGCCATTCATGTTAGCAATGAATATTCATGTCCAATATTCATGAAGGTGATAGCAAATTTTTTAATAATTATAAATAAAGATAACTGAAATATTTATATCAGTGTGCCCAGAACAAACTGTTCCCTAACAGTCTTTTGGAATGTGTTTAACCTAGGACAGGTATTCTGAAAATGTAGAATAGGACACACACACACACACACACACACACACACACACACACACACAACTTTATTTTCTCTGTCAAGTTTGGAAGCAATTAATAGAGACACACAGAGTATATACAATAGGTAAAAAGCATGTGGGGTTTCTTTTTTTGTTTGTTTTGTTTTGTTTTACTGTAAATTCAGTTGCTTCAAGTACCAGATACAATTGAAATGCTGTACTTCCTTCAGTATATTAAAGTTAGGCTCCCAGTCATAGGAAGTACAAAGGAAGGCCCTTTATGATACTGAGGAAGAATGTGCATATACAGAACAGAGCTCTGACTGAGTTTCCTGGACTTAGTTTATCCTTGCAGTCTAATAAATCAGGGAGAAGCCAGAATGTCCCATGCCCTCCCCTCCTGAGGTGTGCATTTTCCTGCCTCCCAGTGAAAACAGGAGCAGGGAGAGACCTGTGTCCACTTAATACCTTCCTTTTTCATTTTTCCAAAATTCTTTCATTCATTTTTCTCATTATAATGTAATCATTAAGGCTTATAACTTTGCAAGGACCAAATGACAAGTAAATATTAACTTCTTATGGTGTCACAACTAAAAATGCTAGGATATAATAGTAAATAAAAAAGACAAAATTTCTGCTTTTATGAAGGTTCCATTCTAATAGAGAAGAAAATTAACAAAATATATGTGAGTTATGTGGAATTTTAGAAGATGTTATGGGGAAAATGAAAGAAGGAAAGCTAGAGAGGAAGTGCATGGGAAAATACAATTTGATAGTGATTATTTCACAAAGAAAGTGACCTTACAGCAAATAGTTGAATAAGGTGAGAGGATGAGCCATGGTTGTATCTGAGGAAAAGTATTTCAGGTGCAAAGGTAAGACCCCGAAGTTTAGACACACCTGATATGTTTAAGGAAGAAGAAAAATACTCCTCCTTACAGAGTAAAGTAAAAGAAACAGACAGTAGTAGAGATGAAATCATTCAGTAATAGGAGAGGGATAGATATAATTACTCTGCACGAAATTAGGTACAGTTAAAAATTTGAGTATAGCAGTGACATAATCAACCAAATTTAACAAAGGATAATCCTGGATGCTGCATTGAAAATGGTCTGTGGAAGAAGCCTGGGAAAAATTATGGAGAGTTGTTGATATGCTCTGTCAGCACATTCTAGGCCTGGAGTGATCTTTCCAGAAATAATGAGAAGTCATTTCAATCTGGTTATATTTTGGTGGTTAAAAACTACATGATTTGTTAATGAATTGGATATAGAAGGGGAGATAGAAGTTAAGAATAGGTATTAAGATACAGCTTGAGTAACTGGAAACATTGATTTGTCATTAGCCAAAATTAAAAGACTGTTAGAGAAAGAGTAATTCAATATTGGCCATACTGTATTTGAAAAGACTTTTTGACATCTGCTATGGACTGAATGTTTGTGTTCCCCCAAAATTCACATATTGAAGCCAAAATCCCCAACGTGATGGTATTTAGAAGTAGGACATTTGGTAGTTAGAGATACTTAGGCTATGAGAGTGGAGTCCTCATGAATGGCATTCAGTGCCCTTATGGGGAATGAAGAAACCAGAGCTCTCTGTTTCTACTATGTAAGTGTAGAATGAGAAGACAGCTGTCTGCAGACCACAAAAGGTGCATGGGATCTGCTAGTGCCATGATCTTGAATCTCTCAGCCCCAGAACTGAAATACAATTTTGAAGTCATTAGCATTTTACATATTATTTGAAACTTTGATATTGGATTAAGTTGACAATGACAGCAATGACAGGCAAAGAGAGAGACTGACAATGAGCAAAAAACAGGAAGTATGATAAATAGTGTAGAGTATGACTTTAACAATGAAGAGTAGCAGTTAATGCAGTATAATGCTTATGGTATAAGAATTAAAGCTGATGCATTTCCAGAAGAATAATCTGGCAGTGACATTGAGAAACAAGAAGGCTACTCTGAGGCTCACCAATCAAAAGGGATACTGGGAAATTAGGGTTCTTAAGAAGAACTTGGTGTTGGTTCAAGCAAGCAGGTGAAGGGAAACTCGAGATAAGTTTAGGACATAGGGGACTTTGCTAGTGATAGAAAATGAGTTTCAAAAGGCATAGAATATGAATTATGATTCTATAGTTTGTAAACTTTGGCAAATTATTTAATTTTTAAGCTTAAGATTTTATTATGTGTAAAATAGGGATTGTAGTGCTCTCCAGAGAAGATTGTTTTGAGGATTAAATGAGATGGGATATTAAAAGTGCTTAATACATAATGGTAACCATTATTTGGATGCGTCATTTTGAATATTTACATTAGTTCTAAGTTTATTTTGTTGATTGTTCCTTGAGCCCTAGACAAAATTAGAATTGCAGGCTTATTTTAGAATTGATTAAATCTCTTTGTATTCCAAGGTTACCCATTTTGTACAACAAAATTTTTTTAAGACTAAGCCTTCATAGAGTATCCCTAAATCTAACGGAAGTCTAGGTATTTTTCCTATTAAGGACTTCTTAATTTACAGACACTTCTCTGGATGTGACAAATAAATTTATGCTCACTTCCAAATGCCATTTATTTTCAACACTACCAGCAGTGATTCTGCTATGCCTTCTTAGCATAAGGCATTTTATTTTGCTTCCTGGGCAAAAGATCATTAATCCATACCAATATTGTAAGAAAAAGAGCTGTTTTATGGCTCTCCTGTGTGCAGTTTTCCAACATTCTTTTATTTTTGAGCATATTTATATTTTTGTCATTGTAGATTTAGCTACATTTCCAAGTTTCATATATGTTATATGTATATTCTATATAATATTATTCATTTTATATTGTTTGGAATATTTAATGAACTGACCTTTTACTTACACTTACTTCAAAATAACATTTTATATTATCATTATGAATGACAAAATAACAGTACTTGACATGAATAAAATATATTCATTAATTTTTATTTAAATATTATAACATTTTGTTAAAGGCCAAAAAATGTAATACCAGGAATGAATGTATACATTTTTTGAAACACTGCTGTACTGAATTGAAAGCTTTATTTGTTGCTCTCAAGTGGTTTAATAACATAAATCAGAACTTGTTTGCCTAAGTGAGAAAATCATCCAAATCCATTGATTTTTATCTATTTTAGAATCCCTAAGGGCAGTTACTTTGTCTTAATGTCCTGTGAAATGTGTAGAATCATTCCTTGCACATAAAATGCACTCTATCAGACGGTATTTGATGGCTGTATTCATCTTTAACATGAACAGAAGATTAGTTTAGAGAAAATTTGTTTTCTTTTCCAAATTTTCCATTTGCCAGTGTCTAAGAACACTGCTTCCTTGGATAAATACTTTTGTTTCCCTATTGGTGCTTCTGAAAAATCAGGGACTCTAAGTCAGATGCTGCAAGTAATCTGGTTGAGTGGACTGGAAAGAGTAATTGCTTTGATTTTTAAAGGAATCATTTGTTCTTCAGGCAAAATTAAAATTATATTAAATTAAATAAAAATTAAAGGAAAGATTGGCTTTAATCTTAACCATGTTATTAACCATATATTAGCAAACCAGTGGCTAAAGTGCATTACTTGCCAGCTATCCAAAATACACATCATTTATTCGTTTAACCTGAGGTATTAAAGTGGTCGAAGTACACTGAGGAGCTCCTCTTCCACATGCTGCTTGCCTCCAGACCTGACAACCTCGTTGTTGTTCTTGAAACTCACCAGGCCTGTTTTCACCTCACGGCCTTTATCACTTGCTCTGCCCTCTTCCTGGAATGTTCTTCCCCACGTGACTTACTCTTTCACCTTTTACAAGCATTTGCCAAAATTTCACATTTTCAGTAAGTCTGTCATGATCACTTCTATAAGTGTAAATCCTCACCCTGCTCTCCATATATGTCCTTTGTGAAATATTTTGTAGTTGAGCAACGCGTATAAAGATCTGAAAACAAAATATTCTAATTAATTTTTAACTTCATTTTCCTCCACTACCATGTAAATTGTATAAGGGCAGGATTTTTGTCTGTGTGGTTTACTGCTGCAGCCTCAGTGCCTAACACAGCGTAGATGCTCAATAAATATTTGTTGAATTAATGAGTGATTAAGTAGTAGTAGTAGTATTCTCATTTTGTACTTGAGTGCATTGTCTGAGAAGAGATAGTATAGCTGAGGCTGAATCCAGGTAGCTGGCTCCAGAATCTCCCCCGTTAAACTCAAAATAAGCCCCAGAAAGATAACTGCTGTCATACTTTTCTCAGGCTTTGAAGAAGGGACTCGGATATGACTTGATTTATCAAAAATAAGCACATAAAATGTTTTTTCACTAAAAAGAAGCAATTTATATCTCTTATATTATGGAAAATACTGAATAACACTATGCTCCCATTTTCAAGATGATACAGTTATTACTATCTCTAGATAAAAAAGATGCATCTTTCAATTAATTAAAGTACAGAGAAATCTGGTTGGAATGATGGCAGAAATAGTAATATAATTGAAGTCATATGCATTTTCTATTTACCAGTAAAGTTACTATTAGGTTTAAATGAGACAAGACATGCAAAATTTTAATATAGTTTCTGACACATTATAAGCAATTATTTTGAGATGGCTGGTTAGATTTATATATAGAAAACATTTAAATATTGCTGATAGAAATATGTTTAGGGCACATATACACACATAATCAAATCCTAATACTTGAAGGGTAAATGCTTCTGTTGATATTTCCAATTTTTCTTTTTATGGATTATTTCTCACCTTTGGACATTGACAAAGAAAGATGATATTGTCTATACAAGTGCTAACTCATGTAATGCATAGATTGCAGAACTTTGATACAGATTACACCATTTCCTTTTGCTTTCTTGGCTGAAAAACTATAAATACTTCCTAATTATTATACCACCCTCGACCCTGGAACACCAATAAAGGATTGTGTGAAAAGATAAAAATGAAGAAAGGAATCAAATAAGAATTTTCTTTTAAATCCTAAGTCTTCAAAGTTTCCAATATGGGCATAACCTCACATAAGAATGAAGTAGGCAAATTGTTGACATTCACAATCCTTAAAAGACTGAGGTATTTGAGTGGTCAAATAAAACTGAAGAAATATTTCAAGCTACCTCTGGGATTGAAAGGAATTAACATAAAAATAATAAATATAAATACAGTGTTCTCATCTTACATAAAGGATATTAAATATTAGAGTAGATCTGATATAATAAAAGATTCGATATTAATCTGGTCTTAAAATTGTTTACATGAAGCTATCTTGTTTCAGAATGCATTTCTTCTGGCTTTTATGAAACACAAGATTATAAAATGTTTCTCAAGAAAAAAATTAAAACAGCAACCACATATCAATAAACAAACCAAAAGAACATGATCATATCTATAACAACATAATAAGAAAAATTTATTGACCGAGAGAAAAACAACAGAAAAAGTTCACTGTAAGCTTTTTGGGGTTAAGATATAGTCTCCAGATATAATTCTCTGATTCTTCAAAATGTTAGCTGAGTATCATTATTTGTGGTTCCTATCTAGCAAAGAACAGAATGCAAGGGAAAAATATCAAGCGTCTACTATCCATTTTATTGAGTGTATTCTTAGAAATTTGTTTGCTTCTTTTTTTTCTACTCCTAGGCTTCCATTATGACTAACTCAATGAAATATAAAATTTTGGATTTTGACTAACATGGGATGTTTCAAAAATATTTTACCCTGGCTAATTTATTACTTTCTTCTTCATTTACTTTTTTTGATTCCATTTTATTTTAGTGTGTATGGCATGGGGAGGGTGGGGAGCTGGGGGAGAAAGCAATAGACTTTACCCCAAAGAAATAAAAGAATTGGCCTGGAAAAACAAGTACTTTTGTCTGCTGAATTGAAAATTGACTATTGTGAGGATACAAGGGAAGAAGCAACACGTTAGTAAAATAGTTACTACCATAATCCATGAGGAAGGTGGTGGCAGAGAAGAAATTCAGACACAGCCAGATACAGCAGATATTTTAGGTAAATCTGGTGGGATCTGCTGATGGGTTGCATTGGAATGTAAGAGTGAGCCCTCAAAGTGTAGCTATGAGCCCTGAGAAAGTAGGAGGATGGAGTTGCAGGTACTTACTGAGATGATGAAGCAGTGAAAACAATAGATTATTGTTTGAATTTCTTTTATTTTTTGAGGTACGTCAAGATGGAAAGGAGATCTAGATTTGGGGCTTTTAACCTTTTAAATTGGGGAGGCTTATTATTATTCATCTAATGTGGATCCATGTAGGCAATTGGATACACATCTGAAATCCAGAGGAAAGGGCTAGCCTAGAGATATGACCGTCTTCAGCAGATAGACAGTATTTATAGCTACACTGTTGAATGAGTTGACTAAATAAGTGAAGTTCAAGGACCAACCTTTGGAACAATCCAATATAAAATAAGTCTTATAAAATGAGGAGAAATCAGCAAAGGAAAATGAGGAACTACCATTGATAATGTGAGGATTGAAAGCAGGACAATATGATGTCATAGGAGCCATGCGAAGGAAGTATATCACTTTTATGAGAGACAGATTAAATAATCTTGCAAAGATTTTCTTACAGAACCTAGCACATAGTCAATATTCAGTAGTTTATTACTGACTGAAATATTATTTTCAGTTTCCCTTGATTCTGTAGTTTTTGTGGTCCAAGAGAGGCTTCTGGCCATCAATCCATTGTGGTAGCTGATAAGGACGTTCTGTGAGCAGGACTGTGTAATCCATGTCAAAGCCAACTGATCTACCACTAAGAACAATACGTTCCTGCCTGTCTGGACAGGGAATTTCACACTCAGCCTCTTATGGCTGGGACAGTTATTATGTAGTCACTGACAGAAACTCACATACTTATTCCTCTCTCAGAATCCTGCTGACTCCAGGGCAGTTCCTGTCTGTGGAGAGGCTGGTGTTTCTGCCAGGCTAGTCACCTAAAAATAAAATACATCTGAACCTTTATCAGATATATCCCCCCCTGTAGCATCATGCTTAGGCAGATCATTCTGTCAACTCTCTGATAGCATCCAAATTTCTTTCTTTATCCATGTCTTTTATAAGAGGATCGAATGACTCACTGGAAAAAGAACTGATTTGATGTTTTTTAAGGTAAAACTCCAGACCTCAGTGCCATAAAACAAGAGCATCTTTATTTTGGTCAAGAGAAACTCGGAACTCAAAGTCAAACTATATGTTTTCTTCTCCGACTTGGGTGTTGAAGGGAAGAAAAACCAACAAAAAGGTTAATATTTATTGAAAGCTTACAATGTACCAGATATTAGTCTATGTGCCTTGATATATATTATTTCAATTAAACCTCTCAACATCTATTAACATTTGTATTGTTGTATAGTCCTCGTTTTAGAAATGGATACACAGAAATAATCACATAGGACAATTGGAGCCCGGTTTTGAAGTCATGCTTTGTGGCTATAAATTCAGGATTTTTAACCAGAAAGTTAGACTGATTTGAATTATTGTCTTGATATATTCTGAACAGAAAAAGAAAAGAATATACATTAAACACTTTATCGACACTGTAAACATAGTTTAGCACTTTTTTTTTTTTTTTTTTTGAGACAAGATCTTGCTCTGTTGCCCAGGCTGGAGTGCAGTGGCATGATCTCAGCTCATTGAAACATCTGCCTCCCGGGTTCAAGCAATTCTCCTGCCTCAGCCTCCCAAGTAGCTGGGGTTACAGGTGTGCACCACTGCACCCGGGTAACTTCTTGTGTTTTTGGTAGAGACAGGATTTCACCATGTTGGCCAGGCTAGTCTTGAACTCCTGATCTCAGGTAATCCGCCCACCTTGGCCTCCCAAAGTGCTAGGATTACAGGCTTGAGCCACTGTGCCCAGCCAGCAGCTTTTATTTAAATTATAAACAGACATTGAAATTAAATTCATTAATTAAGTTAATTAAATAAGTAAACCTTGGGAAAATGATTATTTCCACATCAGGTAGGATTACATATTCAGAAATGGATCAGATACGAAATGTTTGATTTTACACCTTGCCATTAGGCCATGCTTTAATCTTTATTCTTTAACAGTGTCATGGACATTCTGTGCTATTAGTTTCAAGCTTTTATATTACTCTGTAATGAGTGGGCGCCATATCAATTACTTGATAATTGAATTATGTTTTCTCTCTGAAGGCAACTGATCGAGAGGGAGACTCAATAACATATGCCATTGAGAATGGAGATCCTCAGAGAGTTTTTAATCTTTCAGAAACGTAAGTTAAAAATGATTTCCTACTTTAAAAAAATGTACAGCAACGTACTGTTAGTAAGAAAGCAGACTTCTAATCAGAGGCTTTCAGCTGTTTGTAGTTGTACTTCCCTTTCTGTTTTCTATGAATGCTAATGGTAGCTGGGAGGATAATTCTGAGCCCAGAAATATTACCCAGGAGACTGTTTATTTTTAACATTTTTACTAGGTAAAATCTACTGAGGTGGAAACATTTCATTGGAAGGCACAACTGGGATTAATTAGATCCTTTTAATGTTGTCAGCTACTGATAATGACAAGGACATTACTACAAAGGGTTACTTAGCACCAAACTGTGTATTCAAAGGGAGGCTTGTAGGCAAGATGTGTTACAAACACATCCTTCAATTTCAGATTAACATAGGTATATTTAAGAAAAAAAGCACAATGAAATAAAATACGTGTTCATGCCAAACTTCTTTGAGGTCTAGATCAGTGTCATTCTACTTATCTCTCTGAATACATCTGAGATATTGCTAATGATAACTATTGAGAAAACTGGGAGCAGGCATTAAAAGGAGGCATTTAGGGCTTCAGAGAGACTGTATGCTTCCCTTTTGCAATAGCAAGGTAGCTGTTCTGCTGTCACATGTGGCTGGTTTCTAAAGAGCTTGGCTCTTCCCTGATATTTCCTGTGTACCTGTGAATAGTTTTACTTTCAGAAGGAATAGAAATGTAAACTTGGCCAATGATTATAAAGTTAAAACTTTGACAAATGAATACATTGCCACATCAGACTCAGGAACATGTGGGGCATAATGCCAAAACAAGAGAACCATGTGCTGGTCAATTAGTCTTCCCAGAAATACCTGAAATTTCACGTTAAATAGAATTTTACAAACATGAGTTAGTAATGCCTGGGAAACTATAGACAAGAACAGTGTTTTCCACAGATAAGTAAACTTCTATTTGAAAAATAAAAAGCCTTAACTGTTTTCATTTTTATCTCATAGGGATGTAGAAATCAAAAATTAGCTACAATTTACAATCATCATTAAAGAAAATAAAAATGTTAAAAACTTTAAGCAAGGCTGTGTAGTATTAGCATAAAGATAGATATATAAGCACCTGGACAGACTTAAGAATCCAGAAATAACTCTAGTATTTATGGTCAATTGATTTTCAAAAAGGGGTCAAGATAATCCAATCAGGAAAGAACTTTGTTTCAACAAATGAAGCTGGGACAATATGCAAGAGAATGAATTTCAATTTTTATCTCACATCATTCACAAAAATGAACTCAAAGTGGATCATAAATTGCAATATATGAGATAAAACTGCATTCCACATAGAAGAAAATACAGAAGTAAATCTTCATTATTTGGATTAGTCAGTACATTTTGAGATATGACACAAAATGCACAAAGATTAACGATAAAATTGATAAATTGGGTCTCGTCAATTTTTAAAAATGTATTTCAAGGAGCACCATCCTAAAGTGAGAAACAACCTACAATCAGAGAAAATATTTTAAAATAATGTATATGGTGTGAAACATGTCTCAAGAATACATAAAGAACTGTTACAACTTAATAAAGAGAAATAATCTAATTAAAATGGGCAAAATATTTGAATAGATATTTCTTTAAAAAAGGATATGTGAATGGCCAACAAGCACATGGAAATATGATCACGATCACTGTTCATTTGTCATTAGAGAAATGCAATTTAAAACTGTAAAGAGATTTGACTTCATACATACTTTGTGTCTGTAGTGATAAAGAAAGGCAAAACCAGGTATGACTAAGAATGTGGAGATACTGAAATCTGCGTAAATTTATGTGGCCATGTAAAATGTGCATGTGTGAGTTCGTTTTTGCACTGCTATAAAGAAGTGCTTGAGACTGAGTATTTTGTAATGAAAAGAGGTTGAATTGCCTCACGGTTCTGCAGGCTATACAGGAAGCATGATGCTGGCACCTGCTCTGCTTCTGGGGAAGCCTCAGGAAACTTAAAAGTCATGACTGAAGGCAAAGCGGGGAGTCAGCGCTTCACATGGCCTGAGCAGGAGGAAGAGAGAGGGAGGGGAAGTGCCACGCACTTTTAAACAGGCAGATCTCCTGAACTCTATCAAGAGAGCAGGACCAAGGAGGGTGGTGCTCAACCATTCATGAGAAACTGCCCCCATGAGCCAATCACCTTCCAGCAGGTCCTATCTCCTACATTGGTGACAATTTGACAGGAGATTTGGGCAAGGACATGGATTCAAACTATGACTACACTTTGGAGAACTGGCCTTTTCTCCAAATGGTAAACAGAATTACCGCATAAGCCAGCATTCTGCTCATATGCAAGAGAAATGAAGACGTGCATCTACATAATAGTTTGCACAAAGAAAGTTCATAAAAGAATTATTTACAATGGTACAAAAGTGGAAACAAGTCAAATATCCATCTACAGAGGAAGGAATAAACAAAATGTTGCCTGTCTGTAATAATATAATATTACTCATCAATAAAAGGTAATGAGGTACTGAAACATGCTACAACATGTATGAACCTTGAAAATATTATGCTAAGTGAAATAAGTCAGTTGCAAAAAGAGCACGTATTATATTATTTCATTTCTATAAAATTTTCATAATAGGCACATCTATAAGATAAAAAGTTGATCAATGATTGCCTGAAAATGAGGAGTGGGAGAGAATGGGGAGTGACTGTTAATAGATATGGTGTTGAAAATGTTCTAAAATTGATTACAGTGATGATTGAACAACTCTGCGATTATGCTAAAAACCATTGAATTGTACCCTTTAAATTGGTGGATTTTATGATATCTGAATTAAAATGTTAACAAAGCTGTCAACAAAAGAAAAAGACAACAATGAAGTTTTCACCTGCTCTGGTAAGCAGGAAGCCCAGGTCTCTTAAGAATTTCTATTCCTGTTTTTCCCTTGATGCCAAGAGATTTTTCAATTGCTGATTGTGAAATCCAGTGAGCTACTAGTTTTGCCAAATAAATTATCTAAATGCACTGCTTTCCTATATCTCTAGTGCTCCTCTCATCTCTGCATTTGGAATGAAAAAGATAATGGCTGGGTCACAGAGGTTCTTAAAGGTGTAAATTATGTCAATGCAAAATCCTTTTAGTCTAAATTGACCATGATTCTTAATGTTAAAGCTCTTAGGTCAACCTGGACAGACATCTCCTTAAGACACAAACTGCTTCCAGGAAAGCTAAAGCAGAACATGTCCCTATAATGGTTGTGTGATCCCTTTTGATGATCATTCTTGATTCAGGGTCCTGTACACTGGGCCCTTTGCCTTCTATCCTATGGTCACTTTGTTTCCACCACCTCAATGCTGTTGTTCTCATTGATATTTATAGAGTAGCCTGAACCACTAGCAATACATTTCAATGCATTTGAAATGGAGAACAATAACTGACATTTCAACTGCCACCTTCTTTGAAACTTCTGAGATTCATGTTCAAAACTTTGCACTACCACTTCTCTATAACTTTCAAGGATATGAACAATCCAGGTACTGCTATAGTTTGGATATTTGACACTCCAAACCTCATTTTGAAATTCGATCCCTCATGTTGGAGATGGGGCCTAATGGGATTTGTTTGGGTCATGGAGGCAGACCGCTTATGAATGGCTTGTTACCAGAGGTAATGAATGAGTTCTTGCTTTATTAGTTCCCACAACAAATGGTTGTAAAAAAGGAGCCTGGCACCACCCCTCCTTTCTTGCTTCCTTTCTCACCATGTGATCTCTGCACACACCAGCACCCCTTCACCTTTGGCCATGAGTGGAAGTACTCTCAGCCCCTCACCAGAAGCAGATGCTGGCAGTATGCTTCTTATACAGCCTGTAGAACTGTGAGACAAATAAACTTATTTTCTTTATAAATTACCCAGCCATAAGTATTCCTTTATAGCAACACAAATGGACTAAGACAGGTACGCTAAAAAAATAAACAATGTTCTACCTCATCAGACACTTCAATATATGCTATTTGGGTTATATTTTATATCTTAAAGCAAAATGAAAAAATATTTACATGTCTATTGTATACTTTAAATACCATATTATTTTATGCTATAATGCAAATTCTCTCAATACGCATCATTATAATACCATTACTTTCCTTTAATGAAATAAAAGTATGCCAAAATTTTCTTGTATTTCTTTTAAAAAATTAGTAGTAATGAATAATCATCTTAATGTCAGTAGGGTTTTACAAAGTACTGAATTATTATTTTAATAAATTGGCTTAGTCACACAGCCAAGAAAGAAACTGGGTCTTTAAAGAAAAAGCCTTGGTTTTTTAAAAATCACAAACATTGGTAATACAAATCATTCAGTGTCATGTATTAAGTGGCCATATCTGTATGATTCTAATATAATGCATTTTTCTAGTATCTTTTCATAGTGTCTGTCTTGATAGTGGCATATGATTTAGCAAATATTCACTCAGCAATCATCCACAAATAAGTACACATTTAAATAAGATATATGGCAACTTCCCTTATAAATATGATGGCCTAATGGTATAGTTATTTATTAAGGGAGGTTGAGGAAATGCCATCTCTCAAATATTTATGGATTGTTATCACTGAAGCATGGGGTCTGTGATGCCAACACTTAAAATCAGTGCTAAATAAGAGAATTTCAAAAATTATCTCCATCTCTGGTCCAAATTCTATTAAAATTTTTTTTCTTCACTTGCATTTTAATTTTTTCTTTGGTGATTAATTTGTTTTGACATTACATGTAATGCTCAATTATATTTTTCATATCAGTTTGAATTTTATGATTATATTGAAAATTAAATAATATATAAGAAAGATATTTATTTTATTCCCTGACAGCTCAGCTCTACTTTCAAAATATTAAACCCAAATCAAACTATTTCTCACACTTCACTCTACTACCTTAGTTCATGCCACCATCATCTTTTCCCCAAACTGCTGTCAATACCTAGCTCCCTTTATTAGTAGGTTTTTGTTAATTGCTAATTGCTATTTAATATGAAATGCCATGTCAAACTTGAAGCAACTGTACATTTTAAAGTATACTCTAATCTCTTTAAATATCATTGTAAAGCCTGAAACTCAGTGCCCAAAAGCAATGTGATAAATCTGTCAAAGGCTCAGACACCTCCAAGTGTAAATGTTCAGTCACAAGCTGTAGAATTTTTAACAAAATTTTAAATAAGCAAAGCCTATACATCATGAAATATGTGAGATAATAGTTTATAATGATGCTGCATCGGTATTTCCTAATAACGGAATTTTGAAAAACAGTTACTTATAGAAGCAGGTTTTAAATTCGGTAGCTTGTTTTGTTTGGAAGTAGATATCCTCTGCTACTTTCTATTTACATCATTGAATTTTCTTAAGACTGGGTATTACTCTGTTGCCCAGGCTAGTCTCAAAAGTCTAGGCTTACGTGATCCTCCCACCTCAGCCTCCCAAGTAGCTGGGACTACAGGTGATAATTTTTATTTTTTTATTTTTTTTATTTTTTGAGATGGAGTCTTGTTCTGTCTCCCAGACTGGAGAGCTGTGGTATGGTCTCGGCTTACTGCAACCTCCGCCTCCTGGGTTCAAGGGATTCTCCTCCCTCAGCCTCTCAAGTAGCTGGGACTACAGGCACCCACCACCACACCCGGCTAATTTTTTGTATTTTTAGTAGAGATGGGGTTTCACTTTCCCATTTGACAGAAGGGAAAACTGATGGCACAGAGCTTTTAAATAAGCTCCCAGGGAACCTGTAATCCCAGCTACTCAGGAGGCTGAGGCAGGAGAATCGCTTGAACCTGGGAAGTGGAGGTTGCAGTGAGCGGAGATCATGCCATTGCTCTCTAGCCTGGGCAACAGAGAGAGACTCTGTCTCAAAAAAATAAAAAAAAAAAAGTGCACATTAAAAAAAAAGAGAGAGACAGTGTTTCACTGTGTTAGCCAGGATGGATGGTCTCCATCTCCTGACCTTGTGATCCTCTTGCCTCAGCCACCCAAAGTACTGGAATTACAGGCGTGAGCCACCGCGCCTGGCCAAATTTTTAAATTATGTTTGAACACCATTTTTATAGTTAGGCAAACCCTATTTTCTATAATAATTGAGTATGCCAAGCATAATATGTTTCAGGAACGTAGCCCAAAAGCTTGGTGATGGAAAATACTCTGCAATATAATTTATATAATTGAGGCAAAATTCACATAGCACAAAATTAACCATTTTAAAGTGAACAATTCAGTGTTGTTTAGGAGATTCAGAACTCATGCACCTACCAACTCTGTCTAGTTCTAAAATAGCTTCATCACTCCAAATAGAAACCTGAACCCATTTAGCAATTGCTCCCTATTCCTTATTTCCCTTAGCCCCTGGCAAACACCAATCTGCGTACTGGCTTCATCAAGTTACCTACTTTGAATATTCTACAGAAATGGAATCATGCAATGTGTGACTATTTGTGTCTAGCTTCTTTTTTGTAGCCTAATGTTTCCAAGATTCGTCTGTCTTGCAACATGTGCAAGTAGGTCCCTACTTTTCATGGCTACGTAATATTCCATTACATGCATATACAACAATTTGTTTACCTATTCATAAATTGATAGACGTTTAAGCTGTTTTTCTACCTTTCGGTATTACAAATACCGCTGCTGTGAACATATATGTACGTGTATTTAAGTACCTGTGTTTGGCTTTTTTAAGTATATACTGAATAGATTTGCTAGGGAATAGTGTAATTATGTGTTTTTAACCATTTGAGGAACTGTCAAATATTTTCCACAGTGATTGAAGCATTTTATATTCCCACCAGAAATATATGAGGATTCTGATTTATTCCCATTTTTGCCAACAATTATTTTTTGTTGTTGTTGTTAGTAATGGTGGTTGTTTCTTTTTTTAAATATAATTATCATAGTGAGTGTGAAGTGATACTTGGTTGTGGGTTTTGATTTGCATTTGCCTGATGACTAATGACATATTTTCATATGCTTTTTGATTATTTGTATATCCTGTATATCTTCTTTGGAAAAAATGTGTATTTGAGTCTTTTGCCTATTTTTAAATTGGGATTTCTTTTTGATGTTAAGTTATGTAATCCTTTATATATTCTGGAAATAAGACTCTTACCAGATATGTGATTTGTAAGTATTTTCTCCAGTTATATGCGTTGTTTTTTTTACTTTCTCGATAATGTCCCTTGATGCACAAAAGGTTTTTTTTTTTTTATTTTGACGAAGTTCAGTATATCTATTTTTTCCTTTGCTTCCCGTGCATCTGGTGTCATATCTAAGAATCCATGGCCAAATCCAAGATTATGAATATTTACCTCTAGTTTTTATCTAAGAGTTGTTTACAGGTTTCAATTCTTGTGTTTAGAAAAATTGTTGATCCATTTTGAGGTAATAGCTGTGTATGAAGTGAAGTAGTCTAACTTAATTCTTTTACGTATAGATTTCCATTTGTTCCAGTGCCGTTTGTTGACAAGACTATTCTTTC